>NC_000011.10:98081515-98384545 GCF_000001405.40 Homo sapiens
TTCGAGCTTTAAGATTGCATGACTGCTCTGCTGGGTTTTGGACTTGCATGAGTCATGTAGCCCCCCTTTTTGTGGCTGACTGCTTCATTTTGGAATGGGAGTATTTACCCAGTGCCTGTACCCCCATTGTATCTTGGAAGTAACTAACTTGTTTTTTATTTTACAGGCTCAGAGGTAGAAGAAGCTTGCCTTGTCTTAGATGAGACTTTGGATTGTGGACTTTTGAGTTAATGCTAGACTGAGTTAAGACTTTCAGGGACTGTTTGGAAGGCAGGATTTTATATTGCAAGGTGTAAAGGACGTGGGATTTGGGAGGGGCCAGGAGCAGAATAATATGATTTGGATTTGTGCCCCTTTCCAAATTTCATGTTGAAATGTGATCCTGAAAGCTGGAGGTGGGGCCTGGTGGGAGGTGATTTCTAATGGGGGTGGTTTCTAATGGTTTAGCACCATTGCCCTAGTGCTGAGGTCTGGTTGTTTAAAAGTATGTGGCAGTTTCACCCTCTCTTTCTTCCTCCTACTCTGGTCATGTAAGATGTTCCTGCTTCCCCCTTTGCCTTCTGCCATGATTTTAAGTTTCCTGAGGCCTCCCCAGAAGCCAAACAGATACTGCCATGCTTACCTATGGAACTGTGAGCCAATTAAACCTCGTTTCTTTATAAGTTACCCAGTCTCAAGTATTTTTAACAATGTGAAAAAGGACTAACACAGGACCTGTTTTCTGGAGTTACTTCTACATCTCATAATCTATATATAACCATTGGTGTAATAATTTGCATCTGTCAAAATATCCCTGAAATGTCCCCAGTAGTACTTTGGCAAGGTAAAGGAAAACTGAACATGCCTACACATATGCTCTCTAAACAAAAGTTATAAAGATTCTGGTAGGATATATCTCTCTAGCTTTCTTATCTATTTATGTTTTAGGAGACAGGCCAGAAAATAGACAGAATGATAATATCAAGGTCAGCAGGAAGCTTTTTTTGTAAGTTCAAGCTATATTTCTAAGAGGAAAATTTTAGTTTCTATTCACAGATGTCAAAAGCAAACCCATCTGTGCTATGTACTATTACATACATGGAAAAACAGTCTCTGACACTTACACGTTTTGCAGTTGGCTTATAAATTATTTCCTGGTTACTATTTTGTATTTTCGTTGGGATGTTGAATACACATTTCATACAATTTTCTTTGTATTACTTGTACAAAAACTAATAGAATTCTCATTAATAATCACAATTGTATAAAAATCGTAAGTGAGATTTTTCAAAGATCAGAATATCTAAGAATATAACCATGGGTGCTTGCTAATGTATTCCCAGACTTAATTACCAAACTATTGAATCCATACTTTGGAAGTGAACCTGAGAATATGCATGTTTACAAAGCTCTTACAACTGAGTTTTCCAGGTGTTATTTTACTGGTTTATATTGTATTATATGCTGAAAATCAGAAAATGAAAGAATAACTGTTTATGATAGTTTATATATTTTATATGTAATGATTTACCAATTTAAGCCAAAATCCTTTAAAAAAGTTGTAAAGAAACTCCAATTTATAAAATAAATTATCTTTTTACAAATCTATAGGTCAAACTTTTTCTATATACACCTGTGTTCAACACTAAAAGTAAAAGAAATGAGATGTAAGGAAGTGTTGAGGCCTGAAATTCCAAGTTCCATTCAGAATTCATATAGGAAAGGATGAACAAATTGGATATTGCATAAATTAAAACTTTTCCATGAAAAATAAATCATAAACAAAATAAAAAAGTTAATGCTCAAATAAAAGTTTTTGTTCATAATAGACAATATTTTAATGTTTAACATATATATGTAAATCAACATTTAAAAAGACAAAGCAATAAAATTAAATAGGCTTTGGGTAAGAATAGGATATTCATGGAAAATATTTAAAACAAATGAATGTAAAGAAAGATTATTCATATCCTTAGTAATCAGAGAAACTAAAATGAAATAGGGAAATTTAAAGTTAAATTAAAATTGTATACCTTAGATAAGCAAATAAAAGTATAAATTCTGAGTTGTCAAAACATAGGCTTTTTCATAACACTGATAGTGATTATAGGGATTATAAATTAAAATAGCTTTTTGAAGAATTTGACAGGTTATTAAAATGTATAAGTCCTTTGCTTCAACAACTCTACTTCTACGAGTCTAAGCCAAAGAATTATTAACATATAACCATAATGACAATGTATGTTGAAAAGTATTTATTTCTGCTATTTTGTTTGAATGTAAAAAAAATCTATAAAGAAATGGTTGCACACATACAGTTCATTCATTATACTGAACTCAATAAAAAAGTAAAATAATAGAATATATTTATAAGTACTATCCTGAAATGATTTCTACCCCACGTGGTTAAGCAAAAAGACAACTCATAGAAAATATAAATATTTTGGTCCTATTTATGAAAAAAACAAGTATTTATAACCATGAGGAAGAATGTTGTGGAAGCCTATCTATCAAGCTAGTAACATTAGTTGTCACCAAAAAGTGGAACAAAGTTAGATAAGATATTCTAACTTTTTATCTTGTAGTTTTTGAAATATTAAATAATTGGTACCAATTGAAAATTTAAAGAATATTTAAAAGAACAGGGATGATATGAATTAACAACCACAAAATGCTAATCTTTAATTCTTGGCAATTGATGGAGTCTGATTCTCCATCAGTAGTTATGTATCCTTTTCTGGGAAGGAAAACAGAAATGAATGGGGATCAAATATGGGTGACTTCAAAGTTTACGTGATAGACAGGTTTATATTCTGTATTGTTTTTCTTTTTCCCTTGTAATTTCTCACTGTTACCAGAAGCTAAATATGTCAACTTCTATTGAAGTACTTTATACCACATATATTTCAAAAATCTTAGATCTTCTTCTTTTTCCAAATCAAAGCTTTATAATTAAAAAGGGGTAAATAAATATCAATTGAATATCTTCTATATTGTAGTCACTGTTCTGGGATATTAAAATGCAGCAGAAAAGAAAATAGACCAAAACCTCTGCTTTCATAATGCAGGGAGAGGCTCAATAAACAAACATGTAAAATCTAAACATGTAAAATCTAAATTGTTTCAAATGTTTCTTTATTCATTATGGGTAAAACAAATAGGGAAGTGGAATAGCAGTGTCAAGCTAAGGCAGTGAGTTTGCTACTTAAAATAGGATGATCAAACAAGCTTCAATGAGGAGATAAGAAGAGATAAAAAGGAATGGAAAGATTAAAACCTTGCTGATATTCCAGAAAAGGACAGCAGAGAAAACCCTGGCAAAGGACCTGAGTCAGGAGTGTGGTTGGCATATTTTAGAAACAACATGGAAATAAGTCTCATTACAGTAGAGTGAGCAAGGGGGTGAAGAGTAGAAACAACATCACCTGTGTTGTGTCTGTATGTGTGTGTGTATTAGAGGAGCACAATATATGTAGTCCTATGTGTGTGTGTGTGTATATATGTATTTATTTATATTTATATATTATATATATATTTAGTGTATATATATTTTCTTTAGTGTATATATATATTTTATATATATATATTTAGTGTGTGTATATATATATATATGCACACACTAAAGGATCAGTAAACTATACGTAGGAGCCTGCTACCTGTTTTAGTAAATAAACTTGTATGAAGATACAGCCATACCCATTCATTATGTGTATGTGTATTAGAGGAGCACAGTATATATAGTACTTTAGTACAGGATCAGTAAACTATACGTAGGAGCCTGCTACCTGTTTTAGTAAATAAACTTGTATGAAGATACAGCCATACTTATTCATTATGTATTGTCCATGGCTGATTTCATGCTATGAAACAGAGTTGAGTAGTTGCAACAGAGACCGAATGGCCCACAAAGTCTGAAATATTACCAGCTGGCCTTTTTCAGTTTGCTGGCCCTGACTGAAGGCCACTGTAAGGGCTTTGCCTTTTATTTGTAAGTCAGATGCGAAGCCAGATGCTTGATCCTTATTGTTTTTACGTCTTGGGGTCATTATAAGCATTTTGGGTTTACTCTCTGTGTTATTAGAAGTCTTTGAAGATTGTTAATTAGGGCAGTGATCAAAAGGATGACTATAGCTATTTTGTGGCGAATATATTGTAAGAAAGCAAGCATGAATGCACACAGAATAATTGTATGGTTTAAATGTAGTATAAATTAAAAAAAAAACAAACATGGAGGCTTCACCAAAGGAGATAATATTGGGAAGAAGAAATGTACATTAATTGGTAATTTCTTTTTTTTCTTTTTCTTTTCTTTTTTTTTTTTTTTTTTTTTTGAGATGGAGTCTCTCTCTCTTGTCGCCCAGGCTGGAGTGCAGTGGCACGATGTCGGCTCACTGCAAGCTCCGCCTCCTGGGTACCCGCCATTCTCCTGCCTCAGCCTCCAGAGTAGCTGGGATTACAGGCACCTGCCACCACGCTCGGCTAATTTTTTGTATTTTTTAGCAGAGACGAGGTTTCACTGTGTTAGCCAGGATGGTCTCGATCTCCTGACCTCGTGATCTGCCCGCCTCGGCCTCCTAAAGTGCTGGGATTACAGTTGTGAGGCTACCGTGCCCGGCCTCAATGGTAATTTCTAAAAAATTGAACAGGGTGGTGAGAAAAAGTTAAAAATCAAGAATGACTCCTATTTATGTCTTCAGTAATTGCTGATATATAATGGATATAAGAATTCAAGAAGGCATAAATTGATAGAAAATCTGGGAGTCGTTGGTCTACAGAAAGTAAATACTTTGAAGACATTGGATGATATAATCTAAGAAAAAATGTTGAAGAAATAGAGAGTTCTTAGATGTGTAGCAGGAAAACAGGATGAGAGCAGAAGACCCATGAAAGTATATTGATCAGGGTCCACAAAGGAAAACATGACAGCTTTCAGCTCCATGATTAGAGACTTGGTGTACTCAGTAGTTCATTTTAACAATAGTGGGAGTAAGGAGCACTGGTACAATAAACACAGAACAGTTTGGGAGTTAAGAATTTGCAAATAATTGATTTTAATAATATACCATGAAATGTAAACTGTGTAAGAAAATGAGTAAGGCAAGAAGAATATAATGGATCTTGAAAAAGTAGCAGGATAAATGAACTCTATACACTTGAAAACAAATCTCAACATAGAATTCGTGTTTACCAGAGTACTCATGGCCTCAATAAGTATTTATCACCCAAAGTCGAGCTTTAACTTTCCTTTATTTGTCATAAGGACCATAACTGTATATGATTTTAATAACTGCTTGTATTTATACATCATTTTACAATTTAGAAGATATTCACGCATGTATCAGAATGTCCAAAAGTTAACAAAATAGCAAATGAAGCGTTGAACATTGTCTTAGAGACTTAATAAATGAAGGGTAATCCAACAGTAAAGAAAATACCAGCAGAGCATACATCAGATAAGTCTTAAGCTACAAAACAGAAAATTCTCTAAATAAAAATTGGGTTAAAATATGCTAAAATTGGACTTTCCTACTCTAAGAATCCCAATTATTTGTGCTGCATTTTAATCATGTGAAGATGTCCTGTAAATATTGGATCATTAGTAAAACCAAAGTACTTTTTGCCCATGCAATTCTTTGAAAAGGAACAATTATTTTGTAAGTTATATGCATTTAGTAAGACATGAACCTCAGTGTTTACTGAAGTCCACTCCTAAGACATGTACTCCTTGTTCTTCTAAAAATGCCTTGGAGTTTGAGGATGACAGTAACATTGAGATTCAACTATTAGATGACAATGGGAAAATCTTGTTGATAAGATTTTGCGAAATAGGTGGACTCTGTACTTGGGTGGACAAAATTCATATTTTTTCTTTTAAGGAGGAAAATATACTACATGTCTCTTGCCTTGGATACAATAAGGTCCCACTCTGTTACAGTAGAAATGTAAATTAAACATTATATTTCAAAGCTTGTCTTATAAATGTAAGCACAGAATCAGCAAGTTAATCTCAAATGTAAATATGTCTATTCCTGCATAAATGGTGCATGTGCACAAGCACTTGGTAGCAGAGCATTCTCAACAATTTGCTGAACTCTTTCATGTGATTGCACACCCAGCAAACACAGCCATTTTCCACTTAACTAAGCAGCTTCAGAGCCAGAGCAGAGACACTATTTATTTCAGTGTCACCTATAGTTAAGGTTACGTCAAGATTTCTATTATGAACCTGTTTTCGGAGCTTCATACCTTTGTAATGGTTCTAATCACAGTGAAGCCAAATCTCTCTAAAAGCACATCAAGCAACATGCATTTTGAAAAAGCAAGCCAAATATGTAAGGCTAAGAAAACACTCCAATATTAAAAGGATTGCAATTTCTACTGAGCTTATAAGTATTTTTAGCAAGGTAAGTGAACAATAAAAGTACAATTTTTAAGTAAAACAATGACCTGCACTTATATAAAAATAGACTGACGGGAGAAATGTCCATGGTAATTTAGACAGTATTAGATTTGAAAATGGTGCTCTCAGCTTTTCGGTCAAGGTTATCCATGCTGCATCTCTCTCTCCAACCCCCTGTACAATATTATTATTCATTTCACAAAATTGTTATTATGTGCATGTTAATGCCTAGTCCATATACAATATTCTATTCTTGATTTTTCCTCTTTACTCTGTCACCAATTCTACATTAAATTTTTTTGTTTTCAAATAAGGGAAAATTGCTTTCAGCAACCATGGCAAATGTGCAACACTGAATTTCTCCCTTCCTTCGTAGTGTGCACCAAAGAAGGCCAGAAATATTTGCATGGGACATGCTAATTTCTGTTGAGAAATATCAAATCCTCAAGTGGCCTTTAGCCTTTATAAAAATCCATATGTGCTCACCTTTTATCATTCACTTAATGTTTTAGCTTTCTCACCTACCACTTCATGTTTTTATTTTTCCGTTAGGGGCTTTGGCAGTTGCAAAAATGACTAATACATTGCTTTAGTAAATCTTGTGCACATTCCAGATCATTGCTTGGTATATCTACCCATGTATCACTTTGAGAAGATCATTCCTTTTCTCTTTGATTTTCCTCTTCTGTCATTTCTCCTATCTGTGACACTATGACTAGACGTTTGCTATGTGATCAAAGCTCTGAAATGTCAAGGAGAATAAGAACAGAAAATGAGAAAAATGGCTTATAGAATTTGGCATATAGAATATTTGATACATTTTAAGAAGCAGTTTGAGAGAATAGCAAGGAAAATAACTGTTTTCTACATGAATAAAGAATGGACAGCTTGTGAGGAAGCTAATTGTAACATAGAACTACTTCTTCAATATATTTTAACACAAAGTGACATCTGGAGTTATTCAGGATGCAAAAAAAAATAGAGAAGAAATAGGGGACTTGATCATGTTATTAGGTTACAGGAGACAAAAGAGGGATAGCGATAATGTGTCACATGCTCACATACTTGAGGGTGTGTGTGTGTTTTAATTTGCATTCTCCCAATAGGAGAACCTATATACACAAACATGAGTGTAGGCAGTTTATTTGAGATATGGTTCCAAAAAGGTAAAGTGAGGAGACAAGGAAAGTGAGATGAAGAAGTAGGAAGATTTAATATCAGAATTTATTTTATTTTATTTTATTTATTTATTTTTTGAGATGGCGTGTCACTCTGTCACTCAGGCTGGAGTACAGTGGTGCGATCTCAGTTCACTGCAACTTCCGCCTCCCAGGTTCAAGTGATTCTCCTGGCTCAGCCTCCCAAGTAGCTGTGACTACAGGCGCATAGTACACATGCGGCTAATTATTTGTATTTTTAGTAGAGATAGGGTTTCACTGTGTTAGCCAGGATGGTCTCAATCTCCTGACCTCATGATCTGCCTACCTCGGCCTTCCAAAGTGCTGGGATTACAGGCGTGAGCCACTGCACCCAGCCAATATCAGAATATTTTTGAGATAATTTGTGTGAGCCATGGGGGCTTGATCCAGGCAACCTCTAGGAAGTATCTAGGATGCTTTCCAGAATTACGCATTTGAGATAAGGACCATTGTAGTATTTCTCTATTAGCTCTAATCCCTCAGTATTTGTGGGGGCTCCTGGGGACCTAACTCCTCTATATGGCCTGGCCGTGCTCATATTGAGCCCAGTATAGTCTGTCGTGTGTAGAAGACGTCAGTTGCTAGCAGCATGAGATAAGTCTGAGTTTAAAATGCAGCTGTGGTTGCCATTAAAATGAGGACATGTGATACAGGATCACATGTGTCTGTACAGTGAGTACTACTGAAACTGGTACAAATTAGAAATAAATCAGGGAAAAGACAAAATATAATATGGTAGTCTTAGAAATATGAGAGATTATTTAGAAGAATGGAAAATGAAGATAAGGAGAATAACCAGTCCTTCTCCATGGCCTATGACTTTGGGTCATTGGGAAAATGAGGGACTCAACTAGAAGGGCTGCATGACAAGTGATGCTGGAAAAGGAAAAAACAGCTTTCAGTGAAGATGAGCAGGGGATAAATGTTATGGAAAAACAAAGTGAAGGAGTGGCCACATAATTAGAGATGGCCACAGTTCACATGGGACAAGTGCTTAGAGTTGAGATGGCACTGATGGTAGAAATACATTCTAGGGAAATGAAAAGTCTAAAAAGACTGAGTGTGGAGATTTAAAGGGTAAACGGTAACTTTGTTAGAAAAAGAGACTGTAATTTTTTAGTGTTGAAGACAAAAGATGAACATAAACTGCTGTACACTGTACAGCAGGTGCTTGATATATACTGTTCTTTTTTTTTTTTTTCGAGACAGAGTCTTGCTCTGTCGCCCAAACTGGAGTGCAGTGGTGCGATCTCGGCTCACTGCAACCTCCACCTCCCAGGTTCAAGCGATTCTCCTGCCTCAGCCTCCCGAGTAGCTGGGATTACAGGCGCATGCCACCACACCGGGCTAATATTTGTATTCTTAGTAGAGACAGGGTTTCACCATGTTGGCCAGGCTGGTCTCAACGCAACTCTTTTTTTTTTTTTTTTTTTTTTTTTGAGACGGAGTCTCGCTCTGTCGCCCAGGCTGGAGTTCAGTGGCGCAATCTCAGCTCACTGCAAGATCAGCCCCCCAGGTTCATGCCATTCTCCTGCCTCAGCCCCCCAAGTAGCTGGGACTACAGGCGCCCACCACCACGCCCGGCTAATTTTTTGTATTTTTAGTAGAGGCTGGGTTTCACCGTGTTAGGCAGGATGGTCTCGATCTCCTGACCTCATGATCTGCCCACCTTGGCCTCCTAAAGTGCTAGGATTACAGGCGTGAGCCACCATGCCTGGCTGGTCTTGAACTCTTAACCTCGTGATCCACCTGCCTCGGCCTCCCAAAGTGCTGGGATTACAGGCGTGAGCCACCACGCTCAGCCCAATATATTCTGTTCTTACCAACTCTGTGTGTTAGCTATAATTACTCTTACTTTATTTGAGGGAATTGAGGCCAGAGGCACATGTAGAATGTACATAGAGATCTTCCTGTCCACAAAGCCTTTACTCATCCACTTTATCATGTGAATTCCTTTGGAAACAGGAACAAGTTGATAATTGGACTGTAACTATATTTATCACTTCTGGGCAGAAAGAATTGACAGCATAAAGAGAGCAATTGATTTGCTGTTGTTTTAGTGCTGGTTCAGGCACGCACAAAGAAAAAGCTAGAAAAAATAGTTGCTAAGGACTGTGTGTGTAGGGGGATGAAGGAGAGCTAGTGGAAGTAGGGTGAGAGAAAGGACTCAGATAAGGGAGAGTGAGCAGAATGTCAAAACAGGAGCCAGAGAGACAGATGGACTTTAGCCAGATTGGTGGATATGCCATTTGGAGAAGCAAAGCAGAAAGCTGTTCTTAAAATCATATCAAGAAAAATGTTTTGGGCTGCCTCCTTCTTACTGCTGTATACTAGTCAACAAATACCACTGAGTGATGTTATGTTTCTAGTGGTGACAGAACAGAAACATTCTTCTCAAGCCCATTTTCTATTGAGGAGGAAATATATAAACAAGTATTTAAAGAAAATTGTGGTAAGTGACATAAAGGAAATGTACAATGTATTATGACATACAATTTAGGATTCTTTTCCAGTTTGAGGCTTAGAGAAGTAACTCCTGGGTTGATAAATGGAATGAACAACTGGAATAGAATCTAGGAAACTGGAAGTCCAGCAGCAGCTCTGGCATTTGCTAGTTTTGTAACCGTGGTAATTTAATTTTCTTACTCTGTTTCCTTATTGGAAAAGTAAGACTAGTAAGGCCAAATCATTCTGTAAAACATTTCTGGATAAAGAATTGTGTCATTATTTTGTAAGGAAATACTTTAAAACTAAGGCATCGAAAAATATTTACAAATAATAATATTAAACAAGAAAAGCTCATTGTTCCTAGCACAGTGGTAGAAATGCACTTGAATTAGCAGACTGAAGCTGAGTTTATTGAAAACAATGCTTCTGCCAGAATCTGACAGATGCATCATGGTGTGACACCTCCTAAGCTGTCACTGGTTTACCAGTTACCCAAAGCAATAATTTCTGATAGGTCTTCTTCAATACCCAGGTAGTGTTTGGGATACTGACCTTATTAGGGAATAGCAGAAACAGCAAGACAGAAGTACAAGAGCATAGAAGCAATATTAGTTGTCAGCAGCCCTGTCAGAACAGTTAAGTGTAGCATGCTTTAAGATATGTACCCAAATACTTTGGATTTTGCTTTTAGTGATTTTAACCGCATGAGGTGCTTTGTTCCCAATCAAAAGAAACGTTAAATAATAATGATACAAATTTTTAAAAGGAATAATGAAACCCTGCACTTTTTGAAAGGCTTGCCTGTGAAAAAACCCCTGGAGCATCATCCACATAAAGTACTGCCAAATTCTATTTCTAGACCAAATTTTCTTAGTCCTTAGGGAACAGCTGTCAAATGGTACTTTTAGTGACATTTAGACAAAGCCATAAAGTCTATTGATAACTTTTAACGAATAAAGTCAACTGAATGAATACTTGTTTACTTGCCTTGGAAATGGAAAAAAAAAACCTGGTATTTCTTGGCATTCTAATTTCATACTGTGAAAAAAAACGGAGAAAGCAAAACTATATGAATTAACAATAGCCGTGGTTTTACAGCACCTCCATATAAATGGTAGTCATTCATATCATGAGAGCAAGGGACTCGGTTAGGTAACCTAAGTGGTATACCAATTGCCTCTCTGAACGCTTCTGAGGAAATGATGTACAGCAATAAATTATTTAAAAGCAATGTAATTCCAATTATAAGATTCATGAAAAAAAGTGGGATTTTTTGGTCTTTAAACAGTTTCTTTCTGAAGCTCTGTAATTGTAAGCTGTTAAAAGTTTATATATATGCGTATAAAATCATAAACACAAAATCCCTGTTTTTATAATATACTAGGAAATTCAGAAATAAGAAGTCACACTTCTAAATTTAAGATACTGCTTTTATCTCACTATTCAAATACACAGTGTTATCCAAGTTTACTTTTATATGACTAAGCATTAGATACATATTAATTGTGTTAAATTCTTGATTTTGGAACTGGTAACTTTATTAACATCATATTTAATTTCTTCATCAAAATAAAGATATATTTTAGAGTTCACTTAAGAGTTTTTAATGTAGTTCCTCTATCTTATTTAGAAATAAAAGCATATTTTAAAATATTCATTCATTCATTTAACAAAGTATATTTATATATCTGAAATTATGCTGGGTCTGGCAATAAGACGAAAAAGATATATCCCTTCTGTCAAGGAGTTGGTACACAATTACAATACAGTGTGATGAGTGTGATAATAGATCTATATAGAGAGAAACTCTGCCTCTAAAGGGCATGCACGTTCAAGAACTTAGTATTAAAGTGTGAGTTCATGTCGACCAGGGAGATAAAGCAGGGAATAGCATATGCAAAGTCACAGAGGCTTGGAATAATATAGCATATTTGAAGAACACAAAGGTGTTCAGTATAACTATAATGAAAGTTCCTTATTGGAACACTGAAGAAGATAAAGTTTTAAACATGGAAAGGAGACAGAAAATATCAATTGCACATCACTAGAGATAAATTAATAAAAATATTGAAACAGATTAGGCTGTGGTAAAATTCTAGCTCTTTCTAAACATAACTAAAAAATACATCCTTTTTTTTCTGGATATTTAAGTGATATATTAGCTAGTGTAATGCAATATTGTCAAAACAAGAAATAGCATCTTCCATTCTTGGATGGGTCATGAATGGGGGAAGAATATTTATTACAAAATAGGAAGAAAAATGAGATATAATTGAAGAATTATTAATATAGAATAAAATTTCACAGCTATTAAGAAAAAACCACCATAACATTTATATATTAAGCAATCAGGAGCAAATAACAATAACAGTGGCAGTTTTCACGTTAGTGTGTACTCTGTACTAACACAGCTAAAGATACGTCGTGACCTACCAACAGAAAAAAATCTCCATCTTCTGAAATCTGTCAGTAGTAATTTCCAAATATTCATCCGTTACAATTGCAAAGGGAAACTTAAAAAAGAAATCTAGACTTCTCAGCTCTATTTTAGAACATGTGTATATGTGACTAGGGAACAAAAATGTTAACTGGACATTTTAAAAACAGAACAGAAATCTTTAGATTATGCTAAAATAATGCCAGATTTAGCTACCTCAGTCCTATAAATGTGTGTGTCATTTCTATAATGCATTGCATCTTTCAAAAGTCTTAATAATATTATGCATACAAATCTCCTCTGTTGAATATGTTTTATTCTGTTTGTTAATTTCTGTATCTAAAACATTGCCTAACATTATGTCTGACATTTGTGAATACTTGTTTAATAAATACATTTGTTTTTTCAATCAATATTCAAAAATCTATATGTATATGTATGTGTTTAAAAGTATATATGATGCAGAAAACTGAAACTGGACCCCTTCCCTACACCTTATACAAAAATTAACTCAATGGATTAAAGACTTAAACATAAGACCTAAAACCATAAAAACCCTAGAAGAAAACCTAAGCAATACCATTCAGGACATAGGCATGGACAAAGACTTCATAACTAAAACACCAAAAGCAATGTCAACAAAAGCCAAAAATTAACAAATGGGATCTAATTAAACTAAAGAGCTTCTGCACAGCAATATCAATATCATCAGAGTGAACAGGCAACCTACAGAATGGGAGAAAATTTTTGCAATCTATCCATCTGACAAAAGGATAATATCCAGAATCGACAAGAAACTTAAACAAATTCACAAGAAAAAAACCAACCCCATCAAAAAGTAGGTGAAGGATATGAACAAACACTTCTCAAAAGAAGACATTTATGCGGCCAACAAACATATGAAAAAGAGCTCATCATCACTGGTCATTAGAGAAATGCAAATTAAAACCACAATGAGATACCATCTCACACCAGTTAGAATGGCGATCATTAAAAAGTCAGGAAACAACAGATGCTGGACAGGATGTGGAGAAATAGGAACACTTTTACACGGTTGTTGGGAGTGTAAATTAGTTCAACCATTGTGGAAGACAGTGTGGCATTTCCTCAGGGATCTAGAACCAGAAATACCATTTGACCCAGCAATCCCATTACTGAGTATATTCCCAAAGGATTATAAATCATTCTGCTATAAAGACATATGCACACGTATGTTTATTCCAGCACTGTTCACAATAGCAAAGACTTGAAACCAACCCAAATGCCCATCAGTGATAGACTGGATAAAGTAAATTTGGCACATATACACCATAGAATACTACGCAGCCATAACGAAGGATGAGTTCACGTCCTTTGCAGGGACATGGATGAAGCTGGAAGCCATCATCCTCAGCAAACTAACACAGGAACAGAAAACCAAACACCGCATGTTCTCACTCATAAGTGGGAGTTGAGCAATGAGAACACATGGACACAGGGAGGGGAACATCACACAACGGGGCCTGTCGGGGGTTGAGGGGCTAAGGGAGGGAATAGCATTAGGAGAAATGCCTAATGTAGATGAGGGGTTGATGGGTGCAGCAACCTACCATGGCATGTGTATGCCTATGTAACAAACCTGCATGTTCTGCACATGTATCCCAGAACTTAAAGTATAATAATAAAAAAAGTATATATAGTAATAGATATTTTTTCTCTCAGCATTTATTATGCTTCTCTCAGTTATATAAACAACATTTTATTTACTAGCTTTCCAAGTTTTCAGAATGTCCATTTATTGTTATTGAAGTATAATAGATTTTCCTCCTCACAACTAATTACTGCCTGATAGTATATATGATATACAATGTGGTTCAGATATATAATAATTCAATACCATTGTTTTTATTTTGATCTACTGAAGTGAATATAATCATACTGCACCAAATATTAGATCAAAACATTCTTCACACTTCAGTAATGTTTATTTACTGTGAAATTGAAGTGATAAAATTAGACTTACTGGGCATTAGGACTGTAAAACTAAGACATTTTTCTCTGTAACTCTAATCAGAAATAATCTGTCAAGCAGTCAATTTATCTGGATAATTTGGTTAATTAAATGAAATGTGCTCCAAATTCAATTAATTTCCATGAATTCAGTTTAGATTCTATAAATACATTATTTTAGTCATATTTAGATTTATTTCTTCATTTAATTTAGTACAACACACCTATGAGCTAGGTTCTATAATTTCCATTTGATAAGTGATAAAATGAATGCCCTAAGAGTTTAAGTAGTTGTTCCATGGTCACACAGTTAGTATAGCACAGCCAAATATAGGATTTGGACCTAAATCTGTCCTTTCTGACTTCATCTAACTTCATTCCATGAGTAATACATAATTGGGGAAAAATTCTTCAGGAAATTCTGTGAAAATCTACCACTGTATGTGATTATGTGATTGCCTACAACTTATCTGCAAACCTGAAACACTTAGGCTTAAAAATTTTTTTTAACTTAATTGGACCCAATCTCAGATTTCTAAATTACTGAGAGGGTCCAGAGAGATGATTTGATAAAATTTCTCACAACTGTCTGTGACTTACCTAGATTAAGAAATGATAGACTGTGGAAGACTTGGATTTCCCAAATGCAACAGTTGATCAACTACTGTAATTTATGAGGTTTGTAAGTTAAGTATTTGTCTAGAAACAAATGATAATAGAAGGCAACGTATGTTCTTTATAATTTATTTTCTATCATTAAAGCTGGAAAAGTTTTGATTCATTGACAAATATATGATTTTTTGTCTTTCCTATATATAAGCAGATATAAAATACTTACTGCATAATTAAATTCCATATACATACATATGTGTGTATTATATGTACTTATGCATAATTTGACATTACATGATAAAGCTGATGTCAAATAGATATTGATGTTTGTTTGCCAAAACAGATACTTTGCTTTGGTATCCTTGATTCAATTTTTGATTCAGTGGAAATTTTCTATATGTTTTGTCAAAATTCCTATGCCTGACATGAAATAAATTAAACTCCATTTTAACTTTCAGGATTTAAGATTAAAGATGAAAGGCCGGGCACTGTAATTAGAGATTACAGTGGCTCACGCCTGTAATCCTAGCACTTTAGGAGGCTGAGACAGGCGGATCATGAGGTCATGAGTTCCAAACCAGACTGACCAACGTGGTGAAACCCTGTGTCTACTAAAAATACAAAAATTAGCGGGGCATGGTGATGCACACCTGTAATCCCAGCTACTCAGGAGGCTGAGGTAGGAGAATTGCTTGAACCCAGGAGGCAGAAGTTGCAGTGAGCCAAGATCGCACTATTGTACTCGAGCCTGGGTGACAGAGTGAGACTCCATACCAAAAAAGGAAAGATTAGAGATGAAATATCCACAGTGTTTCTATGGTGCATTTAATTTAAAAATAATTTCATAGATTATCCTTTGGAAGAGGTTAATGGTATTTACTGTTTTAGTAAATCTCTTTGAGACTTGAGAAAAACACAGTGCTTATATACCATTCTCATTAAGCAAATTCTTGTGCATGAGAACTTTTATATATATGACATGTTTCAATATGTCTTATAACTGATTCCACATAGAGCAACGTGGTAAAAGTGGAGCTAACAGAGCTATTTTAGTTGTTTATATATTACAGATTTTCTGTCCATCAAAATAAAATCAATAACAGCATTCAAATCAACCAGAGCCAAATGAACTACCAACATAAGTAAAAGATAGTGGATTTCCTCTATGTGCATTTTTATATTCATTAAAACATCTAATAATACTCTCATGTTGTCATGATGGCTGTGATTTTCTTTTAATGCCGTTTGATATGCCCTTCACAAAAAGGCAAAATCAAGACTCATCAATATTTAGCAGCTGAGAATCTCTACTGAAGACAATCAAAAATATTTGGGAAGATTTATGTCAACATCTGAAGCAGCAAAGAATATTTACCTTCATAGACTGTAGCAATGATTTTGAATGAACCTGCACATGCCACATTTTAACCTATTAATGAGGATCATGTAGGTGAAATAAGACTTTTCTTGTCTTATTAATTCAAATGCCAAACTAGGCACGTTGACAGTTTGCTTATTAAACTGACTCCAGACTCACCGTACACAGAGATCTGTGGACTACACTTTGTTTACTTTACAAGAATTTTGTTTTTGTTTAAAAATTTCTGAGATGTTTATTTAAACTGAATTTCCATAGTGAGAATAAAGATTGTTAAACAGAATTCTGCATTTTACGTGAAAAACAGCTTGTAAATATGGATTATCTTTCCATGTATTAACTATATTAATAAACTCACATTGCTAAATATGTAATTAATACATGATCAAATATCCTGGAATGCCCCCTCTTCTCTCTGATTACATGAACCTAATCAACTTTCTATGATTAATGTAAATCCAACTTTATTTCTGAATTCACACACCCCATCTCAGACTGGACAAATCTCTCCCTACCCCAAACTCATAATCATTATGATCTTATCTAGGAGTCTTAATCAATAAGTCACAATATGCTGATTCATAATTATTACTTTGAAGTCTATCACATACAATTTACCACTAGTCCTGTGTCTAGATAGTATTTGACTAGATAGATATGTGTTGAATAGATAAGTTAAATAAATGAATAAGATAATGAATAAATATAGAATAATAAACTCAAAGCTGATAAATTTAATTTTTAACAAAAACAACATATGACAAAGCTTGTTACTCTAATGAAGATATTTTATCACTTTGTCTATTAATATAGATTTTGGCATCAGAAAAATAAGGTTAGATTTTGAGCAAATGTCTGTCAGAATAAGTATATATGTGAACATGCACACTGAAGTGTGCCATACATGATGTCACTTTGTCATAGCAAGAAAAAAAGTTCAATAGCGTTCAATGTCAGTGAAAAATACTTAAAAAGGGGTAGAAATGAGCTAGGACATTTTAGGTTCTAGTCCTGGATTTTCTATCATTTAATGATTATATGACTCTAATTGTCTGAAAGATGGTGAAGTTGAAGAAATATGAAGCCTAAGTATTTGCTGCAGCTTTGACATTATTGAATATAGTGGAAGGGTAGACCTTAAATTGAATAGGAGGAAAGGGTGAATGAGAGAGATTGGATGAAAAGTGGCAGACATAGGTCCATCCATATTCTTCCCCAGTCTCTTTGTAGCCATTGCAGTGACGTCCTTCCTTCTGTGTGTCTGAGATCATAGTGAGAGTCAGTGCAGGTGGAAGTGGTGTTCATAGACTTCATAGAAGGGGAAGCATATGAAACTAATAGTAGAGAATACATTGCATTTGTACAATTGAAAAAAAAATAGAAGGCATTCTAGATACATCTCAAATAAACACTGGCCTTTTCCATTATTCTAGGTTGAACCCCACCTCAGGGCAACTCTTCTTCCAAACAAAGTGGAATTGGAGTTAATTCAAGCTCAACTCAAGGTGAGGAATATTCTACTCTACTGTCTTTTACTGTCAACTTGGCTATGACTAAAAAGCCACAGAATTCCCCTTCTGGCTAATGCTGCATATCATACAGAGGCATCTTTGTTCTAGGCTTGTGTATACTTCCCTCTCATCTGTCATGTTCTCACGGTTGTAAGTGGAGGGAAGAACATCAATGTGGCAGGAGTGAGCCTGCTGAGAATTTGAGCAAGGTTTCACACTGCTTACATATAAAACATAGATTCTTGCCAAGTCTCATTTCTAACTATTTAACTTTATAATGATGTGGTACTTGGTGTGTATGCCTCTTGATAAACTTAATTCAGTGCCATTAGAACATCATCATTTGCCAACAGATGATGGATCTTTAAAACCCAATAACAAGTCAGGACAGGAAATTTTTCTCAAAGAAAAACCCAAAATTCTTTTTTTTTTTTTTTTTTTTTAATTGAGACGGAGTCTTGCTCTGTCGCCCAGGCTAGAGTGCAGTGGCACGATCTCGGCTCACTGCAAGCTCCGCTTCCCGGGTTCAGCCATTCTCCTGCCTCAGTCTCCCGAGTACCTGGGACTACAGGCGCCTGCCACCAAGTCCGGCTAATTTTTTGTATTTTTAGTAGATACGGGGTTTCACTGCATTACCCAGGATGGTCTCAATCTCCTGACCTTGTGATCCGCCTGCCTCGGCCTCCTAAAGTGCCAGGATTACAGGTGTGAGCCACCGCGCCCAGCCCCCAAATTCTTAAAACAAAGCTTTGAGCTCCCAAAGGCTTACTTATCAGGATAGTCTTAATGGGCTCTCTTGTCTTTTGCCCTCTGTAGTTTCAGTAAATGTAAGACTGAGGACAAGAGAAAAGTGAGAGTGGAAATTTTATTTCTCTTGCCCATTTCCTACTGGGAAGCTATATGTTGTATTCACTCTTTATCCCAAAGTCAAAACTCATGGCTGTTGTAGACTCTTGGCTTCTATAAATGTTCCTTCATCTTCTGCCTTGAGGCTTAGAAGTGGTGATAGCTCCCCAGTGTTGTTATTTTGCTAGTCCTAGTGAAATGCGCTATTCTGTGTTGATATCCTGAAACCCTATCAACACATTTTGCACATGCAGTCATGAGCCTCATCAGAACATTTCAGTCAAGGATGGACCACATGTTTATCAGTGGTCCCAAAAGATTATAATACCATGTTTTAACTGTACCTTTTCTATGCCTAGATATGTTTAGATACACAAATACATACCATTGTGTTAAAAATGCCTATAGTATTTAGTGTAATAATGCCATACAGGTTTGAAGCCTAGGAGAAATAGGCTATATCAAATAGCCTAATGTATAGGTTATACTTTCTAGGTTTGTGTCAGTACATTCTGTGATGTTCTCAAAATGAAAAAAAATCGTCACATAATGCATTTCTCAGAACACATTGTCACTGTTATGCAGCACATGGCAGTAGTCTCTTTAGTAAACTTCTAAATTGTCTAATTGGAATGTGCATGCATATCCTGCCGGGATTGTCACAAGTAAGTTAATTTTAGGAAAATAAATGATGCTGGGTTGTGTAGTCTGATGGTTGAAAATTCAAAATTGGGATTTTACTTTAAGAGAGATGAGATTAACAAATCTGCACATGTATCCTTTGCATCTAAAATAAAGAATAGCAATATATATATATATATATATATATATATATATATATATATATATATATATATATTCTAAAAGTTGTTAGGATGTAGCAAAAAAAAGGGGCAAGGATGACACCTTTCATCCTTCCAGACACACTAATATAAAGGAGGCAGCAAGATAAATATCTACGCTTAATTAGGGTGGCAAACAGTATTCTTAGTGAAGAGTAAGAACGTGAAGAAAAAGTTTTCATTTGATTAAGAACACAAAGATTGGAGAAGTTAAAGATACAGAGGGTTTGCTGCTCAGTCTAGAGGCATCTTGGAAGGGGTATTAATGCAGTCTGAAAAGTGAATGTATGAAACTATATGAGAACTTCAGAATAGCTATGGATACGACATCTGGATTACTTAGAGTGACTGACAAAGATCAGTGATAAAAGGTATGGTAACATTAATTCTGATTGTTTCAAACAGACAATGATTGTGAAAAGATGATGGGAGAGGGAAGAGCATCAGTGATTAACAGATGTACAGAGGTTTTTAACAGCCTTTAGACTCAGTGGATGCATGGGTAGGGGGAGAGAGGAGGTTGATTATGTGGGAAGTGTGGAGTTCTCCTTTGACCCTTTCCATTAAAGACAGTTTGAAGAAATAATATGAAATCTATGCTACCTTTAGGAAGCATTCTTAAATAAAACTGCTATGAGAAATTACCTCACAAATTAAAATAGCTATTATAAAAAAGACGAGATATATGTAGGCAAAGGTGTGAAGAAAAAGGAAGCCTAGCACACTGTTGGTGAAGATGCAGGTTGGTACAGCCATTATGGAAAATAGTATGGAGGTTCCTAAAGATATTAAATATAGTACTACCACACTGCCTGGCAGTTCTCCTTCTGGGTATATATATGCCCAAAGGAGATGAAATCATCACCTTGTAAAGAAACCTGCACATTCAAGTTCATTGGAGCATTATGAATAATAACCGAGAAATGTAAACAACTTGAATGTCTGCTGATGGACAAATGGATATAAAAATATATATGTATACAAGAGAGTATTACTGGCCAGGCGCGGTGGCTCATGCCTGTAATCCCAGCACTTTGAGAGGCCGAGGTGGCTGGATCACTTGAGGTTAGGAGTTCAACACCAGCCTGGCCAACATGGCAAAACCCCGTCTCTACTAAAAATACAAAAATCAGCTGGGCATGGTGGCACGTGACTGTAATCCCAGCTACTCGGGAGGCTGAGGCACGAGAATTGCTTGAATCAAGGAGGTGGAGGTGGCAGTGAGCCGTTTCACTCCAGTCTGTGTGATAGAGCAAGACGTCTCAAGTCTCAAAAAAAAAAAAAAAAAAAGAGAGAGTATTATTTAGCCTTAGAAATAAAGGCTATCCTAGCATTTGCAACAGCATGGATGAACCCGGAGGACATTATGCTAAGTGAAATAAGAAAGAAAAATATTGCATGATCTCTCTTATATGAAAAACCTGAAAAAAAAAAGAAAAAAGGAAGATCAATACACAGGTATAGATAATAAAACAATGGTGACCAGGGGCGAGAAGGGGAGCAGGGGAAGAAAATGGGAAGATGTAGGTCGTAGAATGCAAAGAAGCAGATATGTAGGATGAGCAAGTCTAGAGGTCTAATGTATAGCATGAGTACTACAGCTAATAAAATTGTATTATATTTGTGATTTTGGTTAAATAAATAGATTTCAGCTGCTCTTGTCACAAAAAAGTATGTGAGATGACACATAACTTACTTGACTATAGTATCATTTTACTCTATATATATCCCATAACATCATGTTATAAACCTCAAATACACACAATAAAATTTGTTTTAAAAACATATTTTAAATATGAAGACACATGTAGTTGGAGTTTATAAGCATGGGGAAAATATACTATATAAACATAACCAAAAGGAAGCTAGTATGACATAATTAAGATTATAGAGAGTAGAATTTAAGGTAAGAAGAAATTTATCATTTCACATTAATAAAATGATAAACTTAACATGAAAATTAAATTAAAGTATATGAAATTAGTGTATACACACTAATATAGTTTCAAAATATTTAAAGAAAAAGATGACAAAAAGATGAAGATGAAAGGAGAGATAGACAAAGCCAAATTCCTATTTGGTGGTTTTAATACTTTTCTGTTAGAAATTAATAAAGGAGAAGGCAAATAGCTAATAAGGATATAAAAGACTTGAATAATAAGATAATCTAAATAGCCAATTTACAAAATTAGAACACTATATATCACATGATAATGTCATGAATTATATTCATTGGTTTGCAAAAATAATCAAGCTTTAGAGGATACATACTCTTTTACATGCACATAGATTATTTCCAAAAATATATCATATTCTGGGCCATAAGGCAAGTCTCTCTCTCTCCCTTTCTCTGTCTCTTGCTAAAGGTAGAAGTGATACCGTGAATATTTCCTAATCACTGAAGAATTACATTTCAATCACAAAAATATAAGTATAAAATCATCAAATATTTGGAAATTAAATAATACATTTTAGATAAGGAATACATCAAAGTATAAAAATTTAGAAAATGTTTTCAGTTGAATGGTAATAAAAATATTTTAAAATCATACTTAGAGACAACGTTAGAGCTTCAAGTATACATATTTGAAAATAAGAAAGATTTAAAATCAAATATATGAACTTTTAACTCCAAAATGTAAAATAAAGCTACTGAAATCCAAGGAAGTAGAAAAAGTAAGTAATAAAATAAATAAAAAATGGGAATTTAAAACAGATAAAATTAATGAGTCCAAATTTGAATATTTGAAGACAAAAGTAAATTTGATCCATAGCAAGGCTAATCAGTATTAAAGGCAGAGAAGACACAAATGGTAAGAATCAAGGTCAAAAAATTGCATGTTTACATATCCTATACAGTTAAAAGATAACAAGAGAATATGAATAAGAATAGCTATATCCAATATTTGGTAATTTAGGATTAACAAATTGCTTGAAAAACACAAGTAACCAAGACAATAATGAAAAAACAAATAGAAAATATATATATACAAATTTATATCCATTAAAATTTTGAATTCACAATTTTAAAACTCCCCAAAGTAAAATTTCAGATCTGGATGGCTTTAGAGGTGCATAATTTTAAACACATAAGAGATTATAATATTAATCTTTTGTTTTTAACAAACATATCCATGAAGAAAATAAAAGGGAGCACTTTACAACTTGTTTTATGAAGCCAGAAAAATTCTGGTAACAAAACATGACAAGGATATTACAAGAATGCAAATTATAGGCACATATCATGCAAAACTATATGTCAGCACCTTAAAAGATTAGCCATAAGATATACAATCATGTCATCTGCAAACAGGGACAATTTGACTTCCTCTTTTCCTAAGAACAGAAACATTTTTTAAGTGAACACTTCATAGCCAATTTTAATTTATAGTAGTAATACAAGAACTGTTTAACATTAAAACAAATGAGCCAAAAGAGTAGTGTTTATCCTTGGAGTACAAAAATGGTTTAAAATTTCTGAAAAATCAATGTAATTCAACACATTAACATAGTTAAGGTAAAAGTTATAACTCTAGATGCACAAAAAATACCTGAAATATTTCAAAATTCTTATAAAAAACTTTTAGTAAACTAAGAAAAGAAAACAGAATCTCACAAATGATACCTACAATATTCCTACAGTAATATTATATTCTGTGATGTAGTATTGAACACTTTCTCTTAAGATCTCAAATAAGACAATGATATTCACTACCATCATCCCTACTTGGCCATACCCTGGAGTTCCTTCCTAAAGAAATCAAGAAAAAAATTGTGTGTGTGTGTGTATATATATATATATATATATATATATATATGTATGTATGTATATACATATATGGAAGAAGTACAGCTGTCTGTATTTGCAGATGATGTGATTATATGTAAGAAACATCCAAAATAATCTAAACTAAGGAGTCCTCATAGCACACAGTAGCATGTGTGACTCCAAAGTAATCTAAAAGTAATGAACAGAATTAATAACTGAATTTTAAAATTTGGCAGATACAAGGTCATGAAAATGAATTTGAGATAAATGAAATACACTTATACGTCTAAAACAGAAAGTTTCTAAAAAAAGTCAAAAATATTTTCACAGTATTAATACAAGCACAATTTTTTCATAGAAAACAAACAGCAGTAACCATGAAAGGAAAAATGATAAATTGAACTTAAAGTTTTCTGCACTACAAAATATGCATTTTTAAAAATAGGCAATTTACATACATTGTGGAAACTATTGTTTCCCATGTCTATTTAAATTGTATATTTAACTTAATGTAATTATTGTTATATATAATATGTACACTGTAAATCTAGTTCTTTGTCATACACATGGCAAAGAAAGATTTTCTTTAATATTTAAACAACTCTTAAAAATTAACAATAAAATGTCAGTTACCCAGTTTAAAAAATCAGCAAATGTACAGACTGACAATTCATAAAAGGAGATATGTGAATAATTGCAAAACGTGTAAAAAGGTGTTCACATTGAGAGTTCCTTTACATTCTAATGGATGGATTTGTAAAAAATAAATAAAAACGGATAAACCCGAATGTTGGCAACAATGAGGAACAACTTGAACATTCCTACATTATTGGTGAGAACATAAAATAACCTATTTGGAATCAGTAATGTGTTCTAATTTTCATATCTGAATAAACCTAAATAAATATTGACTGTAAAAGCAATATAAGATATATTTTGTTCCTTAAATATGTATATAAATTAGTAGATCAGTAGGTATAAATGGAAATACATGCCACCAAAACATGCAAGATGGCAGATTAATTGTAGTTAAAATATTAGAAGTCTTTGGAAATTTTCAGGAGATCTAAAAGTACTTAATACATTTTCATAAATTAAAAATGCACATTGTATTCTCTATTGTAAATCAAAGAAAAAAGTCGTGTATATCTAAAAAACTAAAAAATAGTGAAATTAAATAATAAGGTAATAATAGAGAAAAAAAAAGTAAGAAAGGAGAGAACATTAAAAAACAAATAAAAAGTAGATTAAGAGGCCAGGCGCAGTGGCTCACTCCTGTAATCCCAGCACTTTGGGAGGCCGAGGCAGGCGGAACACCTGAGGTCAGGAGTTTGAGACCAGCCTGACCAACATGGAGAAACCTTGTCTCTACTAAAAATACAAAATTAGCCGGGCATGGTGGCACATGCCTATAGTCTCAGCTACTTGGGAGGCTGAGGCAGGAGAATCACTTGAACCCAGGAGACAGAGGTTGTGGTGAGCCAAGATAGCGCCATTGCACTCCAGCCTGGGCAGCAAGAGCGAAACTCTGTCTCAAAAAAAAAAAAAAAAAAAGTAGTAGATTAAGGCACAAATAAATTAATAATCCATTTAAAGTAAAAGCACAAGATATTCTAAATAAATAGCAAAAATTTCTAATGGAATAATAAAAAAAGAGCTTACTGTATACTGGTTTTAAAAGACAAATTCAGGAGAGAAAGCATTTAAAAATAAAATGATAGAAACTATGCAAGCATTAACCAAAAGGGACCTGGTATAGAAAGAGTAGTACCAAAGTAGTTTTTAAGCCAGTATGCATTACTAAAATCAAGGAGAAATATTTAATAACAAAATCAGGGGCTGGGCGTGGTGGTTCATGCCTGTAATCCCAGCACTTTGGGAGGCCGAGGCGGGCAGATCACGAGGTCAAGAGATCAAGACCATCCTGGCCAACATGGTGAAACCCCGTGTCTACTAAAAATACAAAAATTAGTTGGGCATGGTGGCATGCGCCTACAGTCCCAGCTACGCAGGAGGCTGAGGCAGGAGAATAACTGGAACCCGGGAGGCATAGGTTGCAGTGAGCCGAGATCGTGTCACTGTACTCCAGCCTGGGCAGCAGAGCAAGACTCTGTCTTAAAAAAAAAAAAAATCAGGATCAATCTAAAAGAAATGTATTAAAATCCTAAATGTATATTCATACACAACAGTTTTAAAATATTTAAAGAAAAAGTTGACAGAATTGAAAGAAGAAATAAACTGAAAAAACACTGAGTAGAAAATTTAAACAACCTAGTAAACTTGGCTTTATTTACCTAAATAAAACACTATATCTAACAAATATAAAGTATTTATATAGTCTATTCAAGTACACATGGGAGATTTAATAAATTGGCACTTCTGTGGTCACAAAGCAAATTATAACAGATTAGATTATAAACCTTAATTAGAAAGTTAAAAGATAATGTTTTCTAGAAGATAATATGAGAGCCTGTTTTTGTGACCTTTCTGTAGACAAAGTGTTTTCAAGGGACAGACTTACAAAAATTATTAGGAAAAAAAAATATTAAAATGGAAAAAATGTTAGTGTTGATCTATAAGCCAGAGTACCTTTTAAAATAATATACACCATGTGATTGTATTTATCTTTTAAAAAATCATCAGTTTGGCTTTTAAATCACCAAGCCATTTCTACACTACATAAATTATTTTCTTTCTCTCTGCTGACAAAGAATTTTCTCTTTGTTAGAACAAAGAAAAAATTGTTTGCAACAAATCACATGTTATCATTGCCTCATATAGGCGAAACTAAGTGCATTTACTTTCTTTTTTTTAATGATGTATTACATATGTTAGAAAGAGAGCAAACGTTTTGACCAAGACAATAAACTACAAAATTTAGCTCTAGTATTTGTCCATAAAGTAAAACTGTCATGCAGATCAATAAAGAACAAGGATGAATAAGTCCTTTATTTCTTCCTGTATGTCAGTATATGAGTGTGCATGGTACAAGCAGTCAGACCACCCATTAAGAGCAGTTTTATTAATAGTTCCTGCTTACATAAGGGTACTTCATTTATCAGTTTCATTGACTGTGACGAAGTGCTTATGCCACTGGCAAAGGTTGGCTCAGCCAAGAGGCAATGAAATAGCAGCTGCAGGAAAGCCACTTAAAGAATGGTGCCTGCTTGAACCAACTTAGAGATATTCCTAATTTTTTAGCTGAGAAAAGGAATTGTGAACTCAGAAGCCCTAACTTTAAAAAAAAATTTTTTTTGCATAAACTGGTATTCTTAATGATGACAAAAATTATAATTATGTGACAGGAGAAAATAATATCAAGTATTGTCTCAGTTTGTTGTATCATATTATAATTTATAATTTTTTTTAATATCCTGGGAGTTTTGATGCCAATTTTTATTTATAGAATCAGGCAAGAGTGGAAGATTTGTTTCACGTGGTTTAAGAAGCATTCCCTAAAAAACCTGAAGTCAGTTCACAGATTATTTGGTCATGAAAAATTGGATTTGATTTAATTCATTCTATTGAAAACTTGTGTTGCCCTGATAGATTCATTCATAGGTATCACATGACAAATGAGGTAAGACTCATTAGTTGGGGATAATTAGTGTAAAGGTAATTTAATATAGGTAAACATCTGTTTTACAGAATATATGTTTTAAATAAACAAACATTTTATTAACTTCAAGATTTGGATGGACCTAACTATATCAGTCCCATTAAATGGGAAACAATTCTATCTTAGTGCCTTTAAGAATTGGAAATTATTTGTCTTTTTGTTTTGTTGTTGTTGCTGGTTAGCCAAAGCTAAGCTTCCACTTAGCTGCTGTTCACATTTTCACCAATTTTCATTTAGTAGGATCTTACTAGGTTTTGGTAAGAAAATCACATTTCCCTACATTTGACTCTTTCCACTGCTCATGGAAATAAAAAGAATCAACACAAAAATAAAAACAAACCCTAAAATTACACATTTAGTGAAACAAAGAGAGAAAATTCGATCTCCAAATTGTGTAAATGCTGGTAGAAGTACTTGTACCACCAGAGTCAAGCAAAAGCCCAACGTGAAAAAACTTAAATAACACAATTCATAAGATTACTTTTGTATATATATGGAAATCTGTGCCCTGAAAATACCAGAAGTCAGCTTCTTTTTTTCTGAGTGCTGATGATGCATTTCCAAAAATTTTTCATATGTTATGCCACAAAGAAAATCTCAATAAATTTGAAAAAGTATAAATAATGCAGAAGGTGTTCTCTGGTCACAGTGTAATAAAACAGTAAATAAATAGCAAAGTGAGATAGCAAACAAAAAAATAATCCATATGGAAATGAAAAACTGTTTCTTAACTTGAGTAAAATTCAGATTTCCTAGAAAACAACAATCATTAATACACTGTAAATTACAACTTACTGGATAAGACCACAGAGTAAAGCAGTATGGAGAAGAAAAATATTACTTAAAGAAAGTAAATTATTTAGACTAACGGCTAAAAGGTGTGTAAAAAAGACAAATTAAACTGATGAAATAAAATTAATATGATCTGAATTAATAACATATTAGGGTACTTTAATAGCTAGTCTCATTTTATTTTAAAATATTTTCAATGGCTTGCTTTGTGCTGCTTTCAAGCACATATATAAACAAGAATAGAATAATGTCTCTTTCAAAGTGAGTGTTTATTTGATTTATGTGGGAACTTCAAACATGTAGAAATATAAAAGATGCTGTTTGTATTTATCATTCAAAACTTTTTATTTTTATACATATCTTCTAATGTACATATACACAGATTATATTGATTGAAAAATAGAACTCTTTGTGATATTAAAATTGTTAATTTTTTCCATATTTCAATCAGCTCCAAGTCAGATCTGATCCCAAAAACATGACTCCTACTTAGTGGTTAGAATGAATTAAAAAGATCAGGGGTTGTGTGTGTGGGGTGAGGTAGGAATGGTTATAGGGTACAAAAAAGAAGTATTTAGAAAGAATAATAAGACCTACTATTTGATAACACAACAGGGTGACTACAGTCAATAATAACATAATTGTCATTTGAAAATAACTAAAAAAGTATAATCGGATTGTTTGTAACACAAAGGATAAATGCTTAAGGGGATGCATACCCCATGCTCAGCAAATCCAGTCAGTTCTTCCCTGTGTTAGAAATGCCACTGAAGTCACGGCCTCACCACGGAGATGAGTGACAAATCTTTGTCACTTTTGTATAACTTTTCCATTGCCATCACTGTCACCCTCATCACATCCACACTGACATTCATCCCTGTCACTGACACTGTCTATAGTGATGTTATTGCCACACTGACATTGCCGCTCTCCTTTCTTAGATTTACGAGATTGACAGTCCCAGTACAGCTACTCTCGCTCAGGTTAGATAGACATTTAGACTCTTGTTAAAAAGAAAACAACAAAAATGACTACACAAACAAACTTTCCTCAAGGCACACATATGACTCTTTTCTTTCTTTTCTTCTTTGAAAACAACATATTAAAATATAATGTGCTAATTCCATATGTTACATTGCCTTCTTGTTCTTCTCTCACTGGAGGAGGAGCTAGAACAAGCACCTTAAATTTCTGAGAAGGGTGAAATCTCAGACTCTCTGTTTCAAAGTTGGGGAATGCTTAGTTTAGAGAATACTTCGTTTGGAGGGTGCATTAGATCTCAGGTAAAATTAGAACAACTCTGCTGCAGGCACTTTTTTCGATTTTCAACTTCCCACCCCAGTTATCTAAACTGCTTTTTAAAACATTATTTCCTTTTTCCTTTAGCCAGTATTTTTCAGTCCTAAATATAATGAGAATTACCTGGGGGTGGGGGCTTTAAAAAATAGATGATTTAATTTGTATTCTAGATCTGTGGGTACAGGGGTATAGAATCTGAGCACTGTTATTTATTTTTAATCTCGATGTGATTTGTGCAGTCATGAGTGAGACCCTCTGCACAGTCATGCCTGTTTATAGCTCCAGAGAATAGGCATATAACTTGAAAACTTCCAGGTTTCTTATGTGCTAAAATGTACTGTAATGTCAGATTTTACAAAGAGCTTCTTAACTCAGTTTAAATAAATCATTACTAAATAGCAAATGTCATACTACATTACACCTAATGGAGGTAGAAACTTACGCATTCACGCATATATTCATTTTCCTTTTTACTTTAATAAACGTGATCATGAGGCTTTCCCTGTACATTCCCTAGAGGCAAGAATGGATCTTGTTTGCTTTGGTGTTCTTCATCAATGTCTAGCAAGATACCTTGGTCCCAAATATGTGAAGAATAAACAGGTTATTAGTATGATTATCCAATAAATAAATGTCATCTATAGCCCCACTGTTAATCTCTCTTTGACCTGCAAAATTCATGTATTCAACAGACTAGAGAGGGCCCTGCACTTAAAAGGGGGTTGCATCCTGTTAAACCCATTGTAAGTAGAACATATCAAAAGTCAAAGATGCTTTTAATACAAAACCTACCGAACATCATAGCTTAACCTGGCCTACCTTAAACGTGCTGAGAACACTTACATTAGCCTACAGTTGGGAAAAGTTATCTAACATAAAGCCTATTTTATAGTAAAGTGTTGAATAGCTCATGTAATTTATTGTGTACAGTATACTGTAAAATACAGTATTGGTTGTTTACCTTGGTGATTGTGTGGCTGATTGGGAGCTTGTTGAAAAATTAGCTTTTTATTGCATAAATCAGATGACATCACTCCTTTTCCCTGCCATTATGGTATTCCCAGTGCTTAATGCAGTGACTGGTACTTAGTTGGTTGTTAATAATATTTGAATGTATAATGAATGAGTGAATAATTAATAAATATCTATGTAGTAGTGCACTTAGAATAAATATCTATAGAGCATTCTTTAAAGTAAACATAAAAAAGCACAGCTAATGAGAAAATTCCTTCTGTGTTCTTTTCTAAGAGTGAAGAGAAGACATTTATGTGGCCAAGAAACATATGAAAAAAAGTTCATCATCACTGGTCATTAGAGAAATGCAAATCAAAACCACAATGAGATACCATCTCACTCCAGTTAAAATGGTGATCATTAAAAAGTCTGGAAACAACAGATACTGGAGAGGATGTGGAGAAATAGGAACAGTTTTGCACCATTGGTGGGAGTGTAAATTAGTTCAACCGTTGTGGAAGACAGTGTGGCTATTATTCCTCAAGGATCTAGAACCAGAAGTACTATTTGACCTAGCAATCCTGGGTGTAAACCCAAAGGATTATAAATCATTCTACTATAAAGACACATGCACACGTATGTTTATTCCAGCACTATTCACAATAGCAAAGACTTGGAACCAACCCAAATGCCCACCAATAACAGAGTGGATAAAGGAAATGTGGCACATATACACCATGGAATACTATGCAGCCACTAAAAAGGATGAGTTCACGTCCTTTGCAGGGACATGGATGAAGCTGGAGGCCATCATTCTCAGCAAACTAACACAGGAACAGAAAACCAAACACCACATGTTCTCACTCATCAGTGGAAGTTGAGCAATGAGAACACATGGACACAGGGAGGGAAACATCACACACCAGGGCCAGTCAGGGGAACGGGGGCTAGGGGAGGGATAGCATTAGGAGAAGTACCTAATGTAGATGACAGATTGATGGGTGCAGCAAACCACCTTGGCACATGTATACCTATGTAACAAACATGCATGTTCTGCACATGTCTCCCAGAACTTAAAGTATAATAAAAAAAATTAGAGCTATGGAGAGCAAAATAGCTAGATATCAAGAGATTGTCTTTTTTTTTTTTTTTGAGGTGGAGTCTTGCTCTGTTGCCCAGGCTGGAATGCAGTGGTGCGATCTCAGCTCACTACAACCTCTGCATCCTGGGTTCCAGTGATTCTCCTGCCTCAGCCTTCTGAGTAACTGGTATTACAGGCATGCGCCACGAGGCCCGGCTAATTTTTGTATTTTTAGTAGAGACGAGGTTTCACCATGTTGGTCTTGAACTCCTGACCTCAGGTGATCCACCTGTCTCGGCCTCCCAAAGTGCTAGAATTACAGACGCGAGCCACCACGCACAACTGAGATTTTCTTAAAAGCCACGTGAGACCAGAAATGCTATTCAAAGTGTGGCCCATGGACCATCACTGCCATCATTACCTAGAAATGGTTAGAAAGGGTCCTGAGGGCTTAAACGATACCTAGAAAATGGAACAGGCCTTTATTAATTAGCTCCTGATGTTTTCCATCATCCCCATTAGTTCTTCTGTTACATGATGCTGCTATCAAATATTAGTCCTATATACACTGAATGTAGCATGACCACTCTTGAAAGCTTCAGAGATGTTCACTCTGCTTTTCTTTCCACTGAACAGGTTTAAAACAAAGACATTTGCTGATGGTCTTAAGGAAGATTATGGCAAGTTATTCATCTGATGCTTGCAAAAATAATCTCTGAGATCCCCCAACTCATAGAAAATCCCCAAATACCCTCCCCAACTGAGTGGGGTTGAAGCTACATTCTTCCAGCCTCCCTTCATCTTTTGTCTCCATGACAGGTGCACCTTTATCTTTTTAAGTGGGCTTAGCTCCCAAACAATGGCCTGGATGAAGAATGGCCTCTAGTTTTCCAACAACTCTTGTTTTAGATACTATGATATATACAAGCCACTGACTCCTTGGAGTCAGTGAACCCAGAACTCATAATACAAAAGGTTTGCCCATCTTGTCATATTTTGGTTTCCTGTTAGTTCCAAGAACAAGATTAATTAAAGATTAATGATGATGACTTAAAACATCATGAACTAGCCTAATAAATTATCCTGACATCTTACCCATACTAATAGTTAACATTTATGTGGCATATACTGTGTACTGGCTGTGTTCTGAGACTTAAAAAAAAATTCACTTATTTTCAGCAGAGGAAACAAGAGCAGAGATTAGGCGGTTTATGCAAGGTTACTTAGTAGTAGATCCAGGATTAGAGCTCTGTCATTTTCCAGGGTCTGGACTTTTAATGACAATGCTATGCTATGCTGCCTCTCAACTCTTGAGCACTGCCTTCTTACCCAGTTTTATGCTGGAAGTTTTCCATATGTCATTGCATTTAATTCTCATGTCACACTAATGGAGCAGGTATTGGCTTCCCATTGGTACCTGGAAAATGGAGACTAAAAAAAAAATAAAAAGATTTGTGTGTGTGTGTGTGTGTGTGTGTGTGTGTGTAAGTTCCTTTTGTTTGTGTTATCTCTCAAAATCCAACAACTGGAAGTAAAGGAATCATGGTTTGGAATAGTGTATCTGATTAATAGTAGGATACACTAAGATATCATGAAACACACTTTGTTTCTTATCCCACAACAAACTTTTCTGCATTGTCACTTTCTTTTTTTTAAATCACAGCCTCTCTACCTAAAATGCCCTTCTTCTATCTCTACTTGTTATGGTTAACTTTATGTTTCAACTTACGTAGGTCACACTACCTCGATATAGGGTCAAAAATTTGTCTAGATGTTGCTATGAAGACATTTTTAAAGATGAGACTAACATTTAAATCAGTGTGTTTTGAGTAAACTGGATTATAATCCATAATGTGGGTGGCCCTCCATTGAAGGCTTTAAATGAGAAAAGATTGACCTGCCCCAAGGAAGAGTGAATTTTGCTAGTAGGCTTCCTTTGGACTTGAGCTGGAGCTCCAGCTTGCTGACCTTACTTACAGATTTTGGACTTGTCAGTTTCTATAATCAACCATGTGTGCTAATTCCTTAAAATAAATCTCTATCTCTATATATGTCTCTCTCCCTCTGTGTATGTGTATGTGTATTTAGAGAGAGAGAAAGTGCACATAGAATATATAGTGTTACTTAAAATAAACATAAAAGTCCAGCTAATAAGAAACACCTATGTGTTTCCCACATGTGCGCACACACACACACACACACACACACACACACACACAGAGTCTCCTGTTGGTTCTGTTTCTCTAGAAAACCCTGACTAATATGCAACCTTTACACAGCCTGTCAATTTTTGAAGCCCCTCCTCAAATATTAATAAAGGCTTTCCAGATCCCTAAAGCTGATGTTCTCTCTCTATTTCAAATCCACATAGAGTTGCATGGCAACACATTCTCTCATATTATACCAATATTTTTATTTTATGTAGGCTTTTTAGAACATTAATAGCATAGAACAGGTAAAGTGACTTCCTTATGCAATCTGAACCACCTAGCACAATTCACCTGCTACACATTAAGGGTTTCATACATGTTTTGAATGGATAAGAATATGAGGGGATAGAATAAATTAATTTTTGGGTCCCAAATAACACTTTCATTCTAAGCATGTCTCTTAAACACATTTCTCTCTGTCTCTAATAACGATTTCACATTAATATGTGGAGAAATTCAATAATTAGCTTAGAGCCAGTAAAGTTTTTGAATAAAAATATTCATCACAGAAATTAAAGATTATATCAATAATAGCAATTTTATTTTTACCATTAAAATGTAGATATGAAGAGATGGTGATGTTAATTAGGTGGGATTTTTCACTATTAAGAATATTTGATCTGCTGTGGGATATAATTATGTCTAAAAATAGGGAGGACTTTCATATCAGCGCCCAATAAGAGGAGAAATTAAATTTAATCCCTAGTGGATCTGAATATAAACTTCTGTTGTTGCTATGTTTGTTCTATTCACTTTTCCCTCATTTTCTATATATTTCATTATGTTCTTTTATGCATCTAATGACCCATATGTTTGTGAAATAATGATTTTCTGTCTTATTTGAATGCATCTTACAGGATTTTAATTGTATTGGCTTCAAGTCCCATTGGATTGATGAGTTCAGAAATATGTACTTTTCCTTTTTTTTCTCTTCTCTGTGTCCCATGTTTGATCTTTTCCTGCTGCCGTGGCACCTAATTAGCTGTGAACTAGTTCTTGCACTTCACAGCAGTAGTGAGCAATTCCTTGCCATAAAATAAAACATAAATTTTCTAGTTTGATACATAATATTTGGACATTATTTCTAGATTCCCAACCAAATAGTTTGTCCTAACTAGCTTCCTGTAGATTACTGGTGTTGACTGTGTCATTAACCTTAGGGCTGCCTCTCTAATCTCTAAACCTCTCTTTAGAATGTTCCACCTTCAGAAAGGTCACACAGGCCAGGCATTAGTTGCATTGCCCTTTCTCTTCTTACATGCCGTATGCTCCTGGAAGAGGTAATCCTTTTTAGATATGTAAATATTCTGTGTTGAGTTGAACAGGAACCTTAATTAAATAAATGTGTTTTATTTATTCTCCCATAATTTCCTCACACAAAAGTTACAAAAAGGTCTAGGTGCCAGATTAGTGACATGCATACCAGACTAATTTTAAGAAGAAATTCAGATGAGTTGACTCCATGTAAATAGAAAGAAAGATAAACAATTTAATAACCTCCATTAAGAGAATATCTACAGTAGGGATACAGAAGATAATCACATTCCTGCCAACATCTTAAGCAGTAATTAGGCATTAATATTAATGCCCAATAAGACTTCATATTCATCACCTACTATCTGTCAGACATGGTTCTAGGTGTGTGAAATCAATTTACGACTCTTTAAATCTCTACAACAATCTTTTGAGATAGGTACTATTATTATTATTATCATTTTTCCATTTTGCAAACCATGATACTAAGTTTTACAGAGATTAAGTAATTCATACAAAATAGTGTATAATTACCTTTCATCAAATCAGACACATCTTGTTTTGTATCCCCCTTATTTAATGTTTGAACTATCTCATATTTATCCCATTCTAGATATTTGGATGATATCTTTGAGTCGTTAATTATTACTTAAACAATGTCAATTGATTTGTTTTTTTTTTTTTTACTTTATAGGATACATGTGCAGGACATGCAGATTTGTTACATAAGTATATATGTTTACATGTGCCATGGTGGTTTGCTGCACCTGTCAACCCATCATCTAGGTTTTAAGTCCCACATGCATTAGGTATTTGTCCTAATGCTCTCCCTCCCCTTGCCCCCAACTCCCCGACAGGCCCCGGTGTGTGATGTTCCACACCCTGTTTCCATGTGTTCTCATTGTTCAACTCCAGCTTATGAGTGAGAACATGCAGTGTTTGGTTTTCTGTTCCTGTGTTAGTTTGCTGAGAATGATGGCTTCCAACTTCATCCATGTCCCTGCAAAGAACATGAACTCATTCTTTTTTATGGTTGCATAATATTCCATGATGTATATGTACCACATTTTCTTTATCCAGTCTATTATTAATGGACACTGGGGTTGGTTCCAAATCTCTGCTATTGTAAATAGTGCTGCAATAAACATGTATGTGCATGTGTCTTTATAGTAGAATGATTTATAATCCTTTGGGTATATACCCAGTAGTGGGATTGCTGGGTCAAATGGTATTTCTGGTTCTAGATCCTTGAGGAATCGTCACACTGTCTTCCACAATGGTTGAACTAATTTACACTCCTATCAACAGTGTAAAAGCATACCTATTTCTCCACATCCTCTCCAGCATCTGTTGTTTACTGACTTAGTAATAATCGCCATTCTAACTGGTGTGAAATGGTATCTCATTGTGGTTTTGATTTGCATTTCTCTAATGACCAGTGATGATGAGGTTTTTTTCATATGTGTGTGGGCTGCATAAATGTCTTCTTTTGAGAAGTGTCTGTTTACATCATTCACCTGCTTTTTGAGGGTTTTTTTTTTCTTGTAAATTTGTTTAAGTTCCTTGTAGATTCTTGATATTAGACCTTTGTCAAATGGGTAGATTGTAAAAATTTTCTCCCATTCTGAAGGTTGCCTGTTCACTCTGATGATAGTTTCTTTTGCTGTACAGAAGCTCTTTAGTTTAGTTAGATCCCATTTGTCAGTTTTGGCTTTGGATGCAATTGCTTTTGGTGTTTTTGTCATGAAGTCTTCGCCCATGCCAGTGTCTCGAATGGTATTGCCTAGGTTTTCTTCTAGGGTTTTTATGGTTTTGAGTTTTACATTTAAGTCTTTAATCCATCTTGAGTTAATTTTTGTATAAAGTGTAAGGAAGGGGTCCAGGTTCAGTTTTCTGCATATGGCTAGCCAGTTTTCCCAACACCATTTATTAAATATAGAATCCTTTCCTCATTGCTTCTTTTTGGCAGGTTTGTCAAAGATCAGATGGTTGTAGATGTGTGGCGTTATTTCTGAGATATCTGTTCTGTTCCATTGGTCTATATATCTATTTTGGTACCGCTACCATGCTGTGTTGGTTACTGTAGCCTTGTAGTATAGCTTGAAGTCAGGTAGCGTGATGCCTCCAGCTTTGTACTTTTGCTTAGGATTGTCTTGGCTATACAGGCTCTTTTTTGGTTCTATGTGAAATTTAAAGTATTGTTTTTTCTAATTCTGTGAAGAAAGACAGTGGTAGCTTGATGGGAATAGCATTGAATCTATATATTACTTTGGGCATTATGGCCATTTTCACGATATTGATTCTTCCTATCCATGAGCATGGAATGTTTTTCCATTTGTTTGTGTCCTCTCTTATTTTCTTGAGCAGTGGTTTGTAGTTCTCCTTGAAAAGGTCCTTCACATCCCTTGTAAGTTGTATTCCTAGGTATTTTATTGTCTTTATAGCAATTGTGAATGGGAGTTTACTCATGATTTGGCTCTCTGCTTGTCTATTATTGATGTATAGGAATGCTTGTGATTTTTGCACATTGATTTTGTATCCTAAGACTTTGCTGAAGTTGCTTATAAGCTGAAGGAGTTCTGGGTTGAGACAATGGGGCTTTCTAATTGTACAATCGTGTCATCTACAAGTGGAGACAATTTGACTTCCTCTCTTCCTATTTGAATACTTTTATTTCTTTCTCTTGCCTGATTGCCCTGGCCAGGACTTCCAATACTATGTTGAATAGGAGTGGTGAGAGAGGGCATCCTTGTCTTCTGCCAGTTTTCAAAGGGAATGCTTCCAGTTTTTGCCCATTCAGTATGATATTGGCTATGAGTTTATCATAATGCTCTTATTATTTTGAGATATGTTCAATGAATACCTAGTTTATTGAGAATTTTTAGCATGAAGGGATATTGAATTTTATCGAAGGCCCTTTCTGCATCTGTTGAGGTAATCATGTGGTTTTTGTCATTGGTTCTGTTTATGTGGTGGATTACATTTATTGATTTGCGTATGTTGAACCAGCCTTGGATCCCAGGGATGAATCCTGCTGGATCATGGTGGATAAGCTTTTTGATGTGCTGCTGGATTTGGTTTGCCAGTATTTTATTGAGAATTTTCTCATCGATGTTCATCAGGGATATTGGCCTGAAATTTTCTTTTTTTGTTGTGTCTCTGCCAGGTTTTGGTATCAGGATGATGCTGAGCTCATAAAATGATTTAGGGAGGAGCCCCTCTTTTTCTGTTGTTTGAAATAGTTTCAGATGGAATTGTTTGAAATAGTTTCAGATGGAATTGTTTGAAATAGTTTCAGATGGAATTGTACCAACTCCTCATTGTACCTCTGGCAGAATTCGGCTGTGAATCCATCTGGTCCTGGACTTTTTTTGGTTGATAGGCTATTAATTACTGCCTTAATTTTAGAACTTGTTATTGGTCTATTCAGGGATTCGACTTCTTCCTGGTTTACTCTTGGGAGGGTGTATGTGTCCAGGAATTTACCCATTCTCTGATGGTAGTTTGTTTTTCTGTGGAATCAGTGGTGATATCCCCTTTATCATTTATTATTGTGTCTATTTGATTCTTCTCTCATTTCTTGTTTATTAGTCTAGCTAGTGGTCTATGTATCTTGTTAATCTTTTCAAAAAACCAGCTGCTGGATTCACTGATTTTTTTGAAGGAGTTTTCGTGTCTCTGTCTTCTTCATTTGTGCTCTGACCTTTGTTATTTCTTCTCTTCTGCTAGCTTTTGAATTTGTTTGCTCCTGCTTCTCTAGTTCTTTTAATGGTGATGTTAGGGTGTTGATTTCAGATTTTTCCAGCTTTCTGATGTGGGCATTTAGTGTTATAAATTTCCCTCTTAACACTGCTTTAGCTATGTCCCAGAGATTCTGGTATGTTGTGTCTTTGTTCTCATTGGTTTCAAAACACTTCTTTATTTGTCCCTTAATTTTGTTATTTACCCAGTAATCATTCAGGAGCAGGTTATTCAATTTCCATGTAGTTGTGCGAGTTAGAGTGATTTTCTTAATCCTCAGTTCTAATTTGATTGCACTGTGGTCTGAGAGAATGTTTGTTTGTTATGATTTCCATTCTTTTGCATTTGCTGAGGAGGGTTTTACTTCCAATTATGTGGCCTATTTTAGAATAAGTGCTGTGTGGTGTTGAGAAGAATGCATATTCTGTTGATTTGTGGTGGAGAGTTCTGTAGATGTCTATTTAGGTCCACTTGGTCCAGAGCTGAGTTCAAGTACTAAATATCCTTATTAATTTTATGTTTTGTTGATCGGTCTAATATTGACAGTGGGACATTAAAGTCTCCCACTATTGTTGTGTGGGAGTCTAAGTTTTTTTATAGGTCTCTAATAACTTGTTTTATGAATCTGAGTGCTCCTGTATAGGGTGCATATATATTTAGGATAGTTAACTCTTTTTGTTGCACTGATGCCTTTACCATTATGTAATGCCCTTCTTTGTCTTTTTTTTTTTTTAATCTTTGTTGGTTTAAAGTCTGTTTTATCTCAGTTGATCCTTAACTGTTGTGTCTCTAGCCAGTTTTTCTCCAAATTGATTTATTCTCCAGCTTGGCACCAGATTTATAGTAGCATTACTTATCTCCTTATATCTATTAAAAGAAAACAATTACTAAAAGTTCTAAAATTATCTTTAAAGTATAAAATCAAAACTCAACTCTCAGTGTACAAACCCTTTTGAAATCTGACATTGAACATCCTTTTCTTCTCATCTCTCATTCTCTTCTCTTAAGCATCCTCACAGTCTGTTATCTTGCCTCTTTTCTAACCTTAAACATTCAAAGACCATTCATTGCATTACAACTTGACATTGTTAAGGAACTTATTTTATTCTACCTTGTCTGGGCAATATTCTATTCATTCTTTAGACAGATAGCATAGTTGGGATCATGAGTGCTGATGGTCTGGGTCAAAACTGTACTTCTTTAGATAAGCTTCTTAACCATTTTAAGTTTAGTAGGTTTAACATTCTATTTTATGAGACATTTGCAAAACTCAATATGATAATTATGCAAAATTCTAATAGAGATCCTTGTTTACACCTATCCTCAACAAAAGGGTATATTATGATATACTCATCCAAAATGCCACTGATGCTAAAAAATTATTTTTTATAATCTGTGCAAGCCTCAGTATTTGGATCATGTATAATAATTCTGATAGCACTTATGCTGTACATGTAATTTATATTACATGGACTTCATGAAACTTGACTGAGCTTCACCAAATATTGCTTCCAAGGGAAAAAGAAGAAGTCTCAGACAAATATTTTAGAGTTATCAAACCTTCAAGAATTTCAGACCATTCATCTAACCACAGGTCACACTGCCCCACATCTTTACATATCTTCACTTTTATTTCACAAGAACACTGAAATGACAGAATCATTGGAAGAGAAGTTTTGCTCAAAATCAGTAATGAGACACCAAGAACCACTCATTTCACAGTTTTTAATGTTACTCAAAGTATTGTTTGTGATAAGGAACTTGCATCAGAATGTAAATCAACAAACTACTTCGTTCTTGAAGAAAGTCAGATTACTAAAGAGGGAAAAATATTTGCTGAGCCAAACAGTGAACCTAGTGATTAGGTTGTTTTGTATTTTTGTGCAAGTTCCTTATCACATAACAACCAAAAAAAAAAAAAGTTCACATATTAAGAGATGGTTTATGGATCATCCTTTGAGTATAATTAGTCTATATAATTTATATCCAGTATTGGCCATGTTCAATACCATACTTACCTTTCTATTTAGAAGCAAAATGATATGATTCTGCATTTTGAATTTTCCAAACCGATCTATATCCATGAATATACTATGATGTCAGTAGTTGAAATGTTCATTAATGTAAGTCAGGGGGAACCCAAAGGTGGCCGACAATAGAAAGTTTTAAGTATTGTGATGTTTTCATAGAAGAGGAAACAGAATTTGGTAACAATTGAACATAGTAAAAATAATTTATAATACACCACATTTGGTCTTCATGGTTTTTCCTAGAATGGAAGCTTACAAAAAGAATTATTAGGCTATATAATTTAACAAATAATTACTGCATATAGGATTATATGCATAGCAGACGTTCACTGTATTTCAAAATGAAATGACTTTATGTTTAATATGCATCTCCTGTAAAACAGCATATAGTTTTATCTTGCTTTTTTATCTAGCCTCTTAAGCTCTGTTATTTAAATAAGATGTCACATCTATTCGTATTTGACCTAATTAGTGATATGGTTGGAATTAATTCTACTGTCTTGCTATTGTTTTTATTTGTTTAATCTGTTCTTTTTAAATTCTTATTCTTATGCTTTCTTTTTAGATTAATACTCTTTAGTATCAATTTTTATATATTTTATTGAACTAGTAGTTTTATCTTTGTTTTATTTTCTAAAAGGATGCTCCTGGGTTTACAGCATGCATCTTTAACTTTTTACAAGTTGCCCCTAAATAATTATTTTAATACTTCACATGTAACATCAGAAGCTTAACAATAGTTGGTGTCTATTTTCCTTTCCCATCATTTGTACTGTTATACCTGTATATTTTACTCTTATATATGTTAAAATCTTACACTATCTAGTTATTAACTTGGATTTACACTGCCAATTATATTTTAAAGAAATTAAGACATGAAAGAAAATTTGTTACATTTACCATTTCAGCACATTTCATTTCTTTGTGTAGATCAGGGATTCCAACTATTAACGTTTCCTTTTGCCTGAGGAAATTACTTATTTTTTCTTATAATGCAGGTCTAAAGAAAACGAAATAACTTTTGTTTGTCTAGAAATATCTTTATTGCATCTTTACTTTTGAAGGATTTTCTTTAGGCTAGCTATGAAAGTCTGAGTTAACATTATTTTCTTATTTTTTCAGCACTTGAAAGATGCTTCATTGTTTTCCATTTTGCACAATAAGCAACACCCTGTATAGTGTTGTATTTCCTTTGGTTCAATAGCCAAATAATATTATTTTACAAGAAAAATTATTTCACAAGAAGTCTGGAGTTGTTCTTATTGTTAATCCATTGTAAGTAGTATTTTGTTGTTGTTGTTGTTCCTCATTGCTATTAAGAATTTTTGTTTGGTTGTTTGATTTTGGGTTTTTTTTTTTTGAGACGGAGTCTTGCTCTGTTGCCCAGGCTGGAGTGCAATGGGCACAATCTCAGCTCACCGCAACCTCTGCCTCAGGGTTCAAGTGAATCGCCTGTGTCAGCCTTCTGAGTAGCTGGGATTACAGGTGTGCGCCACCAGGCCCGGCTAATTTTTGTATTTTTATTACAGATGGGGTTTCACCATGTTGGTCAGGCTGGTCTCGAACTTCTGACCTCGTGATCTGCCTGCCTCAGCCTCCCAAAATGCTGGGATTACAGGTGTCAGCCATCGCGCCTGGCCAAGATTTTTTAAAAAATAATTTATTTTTGGAAATTTGTGCCATTTTCTGATTTACTGTGTTCATTTGGCTTGGGAGTTACTGAGATTCATGGATATATGAGATCTATATCAGAGTTAGAAAACATTTGACAACAACTTCTACAAATATTTCTCTTCTCTAACATCTCTTCATTTTTCTGGTCTAATATATGTGTTTAATACATATCTAATATGTGTGTTACTAACACATATTGATATTATCCAACACATCTGTATTAGTTCGTTTTCATGCTGCTGATAAAGAGATACCTGAGACTGGGTAATTTATAAAGAAAAAGACTTTTAGTGGACCAACAGTTCTATGTGGCTGGGGAGGCCTCACAATCAAGTCAGAAGGTGAAAGTCAATCTTATATCGAGGCAGACAAGAGAAAACTTGTGCAGGGAAACGCCTCTTATAAAACCATCGGATCTCATGATGCTTATTCACTACCACAAGAACAGTATGGGGGGAAACAGCTCCCATGATTCAATTATCTTCCACTGGGTTCCTCCCACAACACACGGGAATTATGAGAGCTACTATTGGAGATGACATTTGGGTGGGGATATGGCCAAACCATATCAATGTCATTGAGCGTCATTCATTTTATTCTGACTTGTTGATCTGAATGACTCTGTTTGGAGAGTTTCTATTGTCCTATCTTCACGTTTACTAATCATCTCTTTGCCAGCTTCTAATATGCTTCCAAGTTCATTTAGTTAAATTTTCACTTAAATGCTTTTCCATTTTAGATATCAGTTTGCATTATTTTTATATTCTCATTTCCTGCTCAAAATTCCCTATTTGTTCTATAATTTTTGTTTGTTTTTTAACTTTAAGTTTAGCATTACATGTGCAGGATGTGCAGGTTTTTTATATAGGTAAATGTGTGTGTCATGGAGATTTGTTGTACCAGTTATTTTAGCAACCATGTATTAATAATTAATTAACCATGTATTAGTAGCCATTAGTTATTTTTCCTGATCCTGATCCTCTCCCTCTTTCCACCCTATACCCTCTGATAGGCCCCAGTGTGTGTTTTTCCCCTCTATGTATCAATGTGTTCTCATCATTTAGCTCCCACTTATAAGTAAGAACATGTGCTATCTGGTTTTCTGTTCTTGGATTAGTTTGCTAAGGATAATGGCCTCCAGCTCCATCCATGACCCTGCAAAGGAAATGATCTCATTCTTTTTTATAGCTGCATAGTATTTTATGGTGTGTATATACCACATTTTCTTTACCTCCTCTATCACTGATGGATATTTGGGTTGATTCCATGTCTTTACTATTGTGAATCATGCTCTAATGAATATATGCATTTGTGTGTCTTTATAATAGAATGATTTATATTCCTTTACTTATATACCTACTAATGAGATTTCTAGGTCAAACAGTATTTCTGACTGTAGGTCTTTGAAGAATTGCCACACTGTCTTTGACAATGGTTTAATTAATTTACACTCCCACTAACAATGTATAAGTGTTTCTTTTTCTTTACAACCTAATCATCATCTGTTATTTTTTGACTCTGTAGTAATAGCCATTCTGACTCGTGTGAATGGTATCTCATTGTAGTTTTGATTTGCATTTCTCTAATAATCAGTGATGTTGAGCCTTTTTTCATATGATCATTGGCTGGATGTATGTCTTCTTTTGAAAAGTTTCTGTTCATGTCCTTTGCCCATTTTTCACTGGGGTTGTTTGCTTTTCTCTTATAAATTTAAGTTCCTTATAGATGCTGGATATTAGACCTTTGTTGGATGCATAATTTGCAAAAATTTTCTCCCATTCTTTACACTGTCTGTTTACTCTGTTGATAGTTTCTTTTGCTGTGCAGAAACTCTTTTTTAAAATTGGATCCCATTTGTCAATTTTTGTTCTTGTTGCAATTGTTTTTGTCATCTTTCTCATGAAATCTTTGTATGTTCCTATGTCCAGAATGGTATTGCCTGGGTTGTCTTCCAGGGTTTTTATAGTTTTGGGTTTTATGTTTAGGTCTTTAATCCAGGGATTATACAGAAATAATCCATAAATTTTTGTACATGGTAAAAAAGGGGTCCAGTTTTAATTTTCTGTATATGGCTAGCCAGTTACCCCAGCACTATGTATTGAATAGGGAATCCTTTTTCTATTGCTTGTTTTTGTCAGGTTTGTAGAAAATCAGATAGTTGTAGATGTGTAGTCTTATTTCTGGGTTCTCTATTGTTTCATTGGTCTATGTGTCTGTTCTTGTACCAGTACCATGCTGTTTTGGTCCCTATAGCCCTGTAGTATAGTTTGAAGTTGTGTAACGTGATGTCTCCAGGTTCATTCCTTTTACTGAGGATTGCCTTGGCTATTCAGGCTCTTTCTTATTTCCACATGAATTTTGAAATCATTTTCTTTATTTCTGTGAAGAATGTTAATGGTAATTTAATGGGAATAGCATTGCATCTTTAAATTGCTTGGGGCAGTGTGGTCATTTTCATAAAATTGATTCTTCCTATTCATGGGCATGGAATGCTTCTTCATTCGTTTGTGTCATTTCTGATTTCTTTGAGCAGTGGTTTGTAGTTCTCCTTGCAGAGAAGAACTCTTTCGCTTCCCTTGTTAGTTGTATTCCCAGGTATTTTATTCTTTCTGTGACAATTGTGAATAGGAGTTTGATATCATTTGGCTCTGTGTTCCCACCCAAATCTCATCTTCAGTTGTACTCCCATAATTCCCACTTGTTGTCAGAGGTTACCCACTTGGAGATAACTGAATCATGGAGGAAGTTTCTCCCATAATGTTGTCATGGTAGTGAATAAGTCTCACAAGGTCTGATGGTTATCAATGGTTTTCACTTTTGCATCTTCCTCATTCTCTCTTTGCCTGCTGCCATCCATGTAAGATAGGACTTGGTCCTCTTTGCCTTCCACCATGATTGTGAGGCTTCCCCAGCCACGTGGAACTGTAAGTCCTAGTAAACCTATTTCTTTTGTAAATTATCCAGTCTTTGGTATGTCTTTATTAGCAGCATGAAAACTGACTAATACAGAGTTCATTCATGATTTGGCTCTTGGCTTGATTGTTGTTGGTCTATAAGAATGCTAGCAATTTTTGCACATTGATTTTGTATCTTGAGACTTTGTTAAAGTTGCTTATCAGCTTAAGAAGCTTTTGGGCTGAGATGATGGGGTTTTTTAGATATAGGATCATGTCGTCTGCAAACAAGGATGATACATGTGGGAAAAAACATTAAAGACCCATTTATTTTATGTATTTGTGCTCCTATAATGCCTGTTTTTTTTTCCCCTGCTCTAACCTATGCTTCTGTGGTTCCAGACTGACACAAGTTAAGGCATCAGGGATTATAGAAAATTGAAGTTATTTGGTTCTAGTATAAATGAGAGGCCATTCTTAATATTTACGTTATAAATGTTTACAAGCTGTTTTGAAATGACACTTAAGTATAGAATATTATTTATTTTCAAAGGAATGCAAAAGTATCCAAGTAGAGTTTCAAACTCAAGCCATTGCTTTATTAATAAAAAATTTAATCAGCAAAAATATTGCTTAATAATATTTAGAACTAAATTGAGAATATCCCAGTTTGGTGATTAAGACAGTCAATATTAAGCTCAGTGCTTATTGATGTATATTTATTTTTACTGGAAAAATAATATAGAAATTTTACCTAACAAGAGCATATTGGACAAATATCTTTGAATTTAAACCATTGTCTTTAAACAAGTGACAGATCCATTTGAGAACTGCTCTGATTTGTAGCTTCCAATTCTTTCTGTCATGCCTGGGATTTTTGCTACTATGTGAGAAGAACCAGTGCATTGATCTGACAGAAAGTAATAGATAAAATAGTTGTGTGACAGTGCTACTACTCAAAATAGCTAGAAATAGTTTAACATTTTGTTATTTATTTGGCTTCTGTGGGAAAATATAATAAGGCTTCTGATACTTTGTTCAATCAGTTAAAAATGCCTTCGTATTTTTGTTCAGTTCAAATTTGTGCTTCCACAGACATATCTCTGACAATTCTCTCTTAATTGTATTTGTTCCTCAGAAATACAGGAGTACAATTCTGAGAGAATCTGTATACTTAAATTGCTAACTGCTTGCTCATGCCATTAGAAAGCACTTTATTTTGTAATGGAATCTTTGTTAATTGTTTCACGTGGAAAATGAACAGTTACGATAACAAGTAGATTTTAGTGGTTACTTTTATATGTTGGTTGGATTGGACCAAGAAATATACATGTCTAGGTAAATGTAATTATACTTAGAATTTTATTATACCTATAAACAATGTGAATATATGATAGGTACTTTGGTGTGTTATCAGATAAAATCCAGCAGTCAAGTTCTCTCTTAGAGATGAAAATATGATTCTACACTCTGGCATTCCTAAGTAACCTCTATCACTTAGGCTAGTTTATATCAGTTTGGTTTCCCCCGTGCTTTTCTCATGATAGTGAGTTCTCACAAGATCTGATGGTTTTGTAAGGGGCTTCCCTCTTCGCTTGGCACTCATTCTCTCTCCTGCCACCCTGAGAAGAGGTGTGTTCCACTATGACTATAAGTTTCCTGAGGCCTTCCCAGCCACGTGAAACTGTAAGTCAATTAAAACTCTTCTTTATAAATTACCCAATCTCAGGTATTTCTTCATAGCAGCATGAGAATGAACTAATGCAGAAATGTTTGTAGCAAATGTTGAAAACTATTAGTATTTTAAATGAAAGTGTTCATATAAATTAGTAATATAATAGTATGGGGGCAGGCATCCCCTAAAATAGCCCCTTCGGATTCTTGACTCCTTGTATTCAGTAGAAGTGCGTATATGTTATTAGGTGTTTATTGTCAACACAGAAAATTGCTCTTGATTTCTGTACCCTTCCTTCTTAGAAAATTGTTTTAACTAAGAAAGAATATTAGAATATATTTTATGGATAAATTTTTGCACATATTTATGGAGTACCTGTGATATTTTGTCACATGAGTAGAATGTGGAATGATCAAGTCAGGATGCTAAGGATGTCAATCACCATCTAGTATTTCTATGTGTTGAGAACATTTTAAGTCCTCACTTCTAGCTATTTTGAAATGTACAATATATTGTTGTTACCTATAATCACCCTACTTACAACTGAACATTAGAACTTATCCATTCTATCTAACTGTATGTTTGTGCCCATTAAAAAACCTCTTTATATGCACCTTCCTCATATACACCCATATCCTTCCCAGCATCTGGTAACTATCATTCCACTTTCTACCTTGACAATATTATTTTTCCTTTAGCTTCCACATATACAAGAAAGTCTGTTTACACAATCATATCATCAGCAAAAGTGACAGTTTTGCCATTTCTTTTCTACTACTTTTTGAGATAATTCTTATGTGGTGATCATAATATATCATTCTTTAGGTATATTATTGAATTCTGTTTTCTATTTTAATTATAATTTTTGTTTTTGTAATCATGAGTAAGCTTCATCTGGAGCTTTTTTAAAACTCTATTTGTTTTTGCTGTTAAACTTATCCTGACCTTATGAAATAAATTTTGGGCTATACTTTATGGATTGAAATATTTTAAATCATCTTGGAACTTCTTTCTTTAAAGGTTAGATAGAACTAATTATTAAACCATGTGGGTATGGAGCATTTTTTATTCTTAGATTTTTAATCACTCTTTCAAATTCTTTAATAGTGATTGTTCTATCATGCTTTATACTTCTTATCACTATTCTCATAACATATTTTGTTGAAAAGCATTCATCTGCTTTTCTTAAAATATATTTATTGGAATTGTATGAGGTATTGCTACAATTAGAAAGTTTGCTTCACCTCAAAATTCATATCTTGAAAGCTAATATTCAATGTCATAATATTTGGGTGTGGAGACTTTGAGAGTTGATTAGGTTATGAGTGAGAAATCCTTTATGAATGTAATTAGTACCATTGTAAAAGGGATCCCAGGGAGCTTCTTCTCCTCTACTGCATGTGAAGTTATAGTTAGAAGATAGCTATTTATGAACCAGACACTAAATCTATGGATGGCTTGATCTTGGACTTCCAGCTTGCAGAACTTTGAGAAATAAATTTCTATAGTTTATAATCCACCTAGTTTATGGTAATTTGTAATAGCAATGTAAATGGACTAAGTCTAGTATTTCTTGTCATTCTTTTAATTATGTCTATATCTATGATTACGTGGCCTTTCTCATCAGGATCAGACATTCTGACCTGGAGGAAAATGTTGAATAAAGTAGGTTTCAAGTAAACATTTCTTTTCTTATGTGGATGACATGGCAACTCAGGAAAGCAGGACTTTTAAAATTATCAGAATGATAAAAAAAACTTGGTATTAAGCATCCAGGGCATTCATAATACCTTTTTAAACTTTCACATTCCAGAATTCACTCTGTCCAGAGTGATTATATTTATGTTTTTAAAGTATATTCATAATCTCCTTCATAAAATTAAATCATGATGGCACTTAGGCCAAAAGAGTTTGTACAAGTTCTCTATATTGATAAAATTTCTCCTAAGGATTCATTCCTGAATACACAATGAAATTGTGTATCTTGATCAAGGCTGTCTCACAATTATATTTCAGTTCTTCTAGGCATTCTTTCTAGCATGAGTTTATCATGTCTACAAGTGTTGTCTTCTGGTAGAAAACTGCCACATTCATTGCATCCATGTTTTCTCTTCTGTATGAGTTCTCCAATATTTATTGTTGCATGACTTCTGACTAAAGGATTTTCCACATTCTCTACAACAACAGGTCTTTATACTGCATGGGTTTTTCAATGTACATTGAGGTATGACTTTTTTGTCAAATGACTTTCCACATTCATTGCACACAAAGACACAAAGGTTCTTTCTCCTGTATGTGTTCTCTGATGTTCTGTGAGATATGATTATGAGTGATGGCTTTCCTACAAAAAACATAGTGTGAATTCTTTGATGTTTGATGAGGGTTGACTTATGTGAAAAGGTTTTCCCACAGTTAGTACACCCATATGGTTACTCCCTAGTGTGATTTCTCTGATGCCTAATGAATTCAGACTTGTGGCAGAAGGCTTTTTCATATTCCTCACAGATGTGTAATTTCTCTTCAGGTGGATCTTTATTCACTTGTACATAAGATAATTGGTTACTACTAGTTTATACGTAAGTGCTGTGTTATGGCTGAAAGCTTTCTCACAGTGGCTGCATTCCCAGGATTTTTCCTGTTATGTCTTTTATCACAGTTTGTACACTTATCTAACAACTTCCTAAGCAACTTATTTTTTTGAGTAGTTTACCTTAAAACCTACCAGGTCTAAATTATATTTCAAGCTCTTTCCAGAAGTATTTCAATTATTAAAACTTTGAATTGAACAGAAATTATCAGCGTTCAAAAGTAATATTTTCCTGAACATTATTCATAGCTTCTTATCTTTGGCAATTTTTTTTTAATTGAAGCGTGCACTTTATCTTAAAAGCATGCTTTGCTGTCCTTTCATCGGGAAGTTTACTTGTCGGGTACCTGGTCAACAGTGGCAGCCTGGACATGCATCCTTAAAAATCCATGGTGCTTCTTCCTGCTCCATCCTGAGGATCACATCTGATTTGATGCCTTCATAACCCACTGAGATGAGGTTGCTCTTTTAATGTTTTCCCTTACTCTAATATTCAATCTTACAGAGGCTTTGAACTACATTTTGGGTGAGGGACCAAGGTGACACAAAGAGACTGTCTATGTATCTTCTAAACCTATTTAGTGAATACAATATCTAGTACATTTCCAGTGGCTGCATTCGGGATTCCCAAGATCCTTCAGAGTCCCCGTCGGCGTAAAGGAGCATGAGGTTTGAGTAACTATATGTAGTTAAGTGACTGGAGTAGGGTGGGTGAGATCACGCATGTAAAAGAACGTCTTAAACGTGCTATATAAATATTGCTAGAAAGCTTAGCCCTCATGTTAAGCAGGTAATCTCAATTTGTCATAAGTTGCAGTTATGTTAGAGCATAGTTGGTCTTACTGTCTCTGTTTGGTTGATTAACTACGGTAAAGGTTGAAAGGATTGTGGAGTAAGTAAAAGAAAGTATAAGGAGGGGATGGTATTGAAGCATTTTGAAAATTTACTGAGGCTGCAAGAGTACCTAGCTCTGTCTTTTGAGCTCTTTTGAGTAACTTCCAGGCATATTATGCATGACATATTTTTCCCACATAGATGTGAGTTTGACCTGGGTTAGAATTTTTAAACCATGGTCTCATTTTTTTTTCTCAGATATCTGTAGATACATTTCACTTATAAACATTTTTTTGTTAAAATTAAATATCTTATATGTTCTTCAAGGGTATGCTCACTTCTAAATTTTTAAAGAGTAACACATATTGAGAGGCAGTTACCTTGAAATGGGTGTGTCTCAGAGATCTGAACTTGGGAATGAGAGGAAAAACCTCAGGTGTCCTGGAAGATAGAATTGGTTTTGACAAGGAAATGTCAGGTTGTCTAAGAAGCACATGCTGAAGTGTGGGTGTTAAATGTCTACCTTCTTGAAGATAGTTCAGGAACTAGAAAGTTAGTATTAATAAGTCAGACTAGAAGACTGTGTAGTTATGCATGCATTTCCATGAAAAATACATCCCAGCTATTAAGGGCCTGTAATGTAATTAGTTTCCAGACACTGGAAAACTCTCAGGTCAAGTCGTCATGGTGTAAATTGGATTGTTTGATGCTTCTTAACACCCATCTTGTTTTTGTTGTGTATGATCTTTTAGTGAAATCTTCTGAGTGTTTAAAAATTGATAGAACAATATGATTGTGAGTGAAAAGAAGCATCCCTCTGACAGAAGGGCTCAACATTGAATTCTATAAATATTTGAGGAGTTTTTGGAAAAAAAGAATTGATAAACTTGGCTATTACCTTTAATGTATAGTATAATGCAAGTAAAATTTTAAAAGAATGATATGTTTAAACAGATTTAAGTATCAGCAGAGCAAACTACAGTTTTTTAACGGTGGAGAATAAAAAACAGCATTGAAAATAAAATAATGAAAGAGGAATTGAGGAGATACATTTGCATATAGTTTACCAAACCAAACAGGTAATTTAGCAATTTTAGAAGAATATTGTCAGATGAAAATTTGGGTAATCATGATTATGGTGAAGCAGGGTAAGAATATGTATTTTCTGGCATAGTATTCTGGGATATTATATATGTGTGTTTCAAGTAAACAGGAAGTAAAAGAAGGAGTAACCTGATAACTTTGTTTGGAACAGTAAGGACACAGTCAAGGCGCAATTAGGATAAAGGAAATAGATTCAGATATTAGTCTAATAATTTAATATATAATACATATAATTGTGACAGGTTGGGATCTGCCTGTAAAAGGTTACATTACTTTTTCTCCTAGAAGGCTACATTTAGATGTCAGTATTATTTTTAGAATTCCAGAAAAAAGTATTGTAAAACAGCGTTTTAATTCTACTTTTATGTGACAGAAACAGATAAAAATGCACTGAGAGTTTTTTGAAAAGAAGAGAAATTGACAACCCGGAATTAGAAATGCATTTTTCTTTAATGATGGGCAGTAGAACAAAGAATTTAGTAGCATGAAATCTGAGAACAAAATGCTTGAGTTCAAACCCCTACTCTACCACTTACTAGCAGAGTGATATTGGTAATTTGTAAAACATCTTATATTGTCTCTTCATTTATAAAGTTGGGGCTGATCATGTTACCTATTTCATAAACTTATTATCAGTTTAGATTACATAAAAAATGTAAAGCACTTAAACAGTGATTAGCACATTACAGTTACTGTATAAATATTAGGTTCATTTTATAATTTTCATCATTGATTATGAAAAATATGTTAGTCACTTAACTATGGTCCATGACTTACTGGTATATTGAAGTGTAGGACAGAGTGAAGTTGAAAAATTGCTATTTTAAAAGTAAAAGCAGAAAGTATTGGAAATAACCATCGCAATAGTATGTAAACTACTTCAGGATGAGGAAATTAAATAGATCATTCAGACTAAAAGGTATTTCAGAAGAAATCAGATTCCAACATTAAATTTCCAAATAGGTGAGGAAAACTCATGGATAGTGACCGAATTTCAAATAGAAAAATACTCTGGAGATCATTTAGCCAAGATTATGGTGTTTAAAATGTGAAAAATGCCATCTGATAGGCAGAGAGAACTATCTATAAACATCATCTGGCGAGAAAGCATATGCTTTAAAGAGTAGAAATACAATTTAGCATTCCATCAAACAGCTAAAATGACAAAATAATACAACATAATTTAGAAGCATTGGTCTTCAAATAAGACCAAACTAAATATGTGTCCGACCTCTGATACTATGTGAGAAAGTACATGAGCCTCAGTTACCTCATCTATGAAATGAGGATATAATATCTATTTTGGATAGTGTCATTAATGTTAAATATGATAGTAAATATAAAGTACCTAGCAATGGCCAGGAAAAGAGTAAGAATACAAAGTATAGTAAGTAATTATTAGATTTTTTAATGAACATTAAAAGTATAGAAAGTTAAAATGAAAAAGGAGACTGAAAAAACAATCATAATATGACTAACTTGATTTATAAGATATTAATAACATTTATATTTAGAAATTGTACCTACTGGTCAAAAATATAATCTAAGTATATGAATGTACTTTACTATTAAAAACCTGTGAGGATCATATAGCATACTCTATCCCAAAACAGAAGAAATATAAAGTGTTAATTAAATACATTGGATAAATAGGTACTAAATTATCATTAAGTTAAAGCACCAGGGGCATTAACAGATGAGAGAGCAGGTGTAGTTGAAAATAATACAACATTGATGTTAGGACTAAAAATATAAATTACTATATAATGAAGAACAACTCGAAAGAGCAGGAGAAGGAAACATCATTTTTGAAGGACTACATTTAATGAATTTTTGGGACTGTAAGCGTGCCTTGTCACTGAGAAGTTTTGACATATGTGTATGCCCATGAAACAATCATCATAGTTAAAATATTGAATATATTCATTACTCTAAATATTTTTGTAGCCAATTATTATTACCGTCTTTCACCTTTCCCTGTCTTTTTCAGCCAACCACTGATGTGCATTCTGTCACTATAGATTAATCTGAATTTTCTAGAATTTTGTATACATGGAATTATACAGTATGCATTTTTGTCGTTTAGTTTCTTTCAGTCTAATTATTTTGAGATTCATTAATGTTGTGGCATGTGTTATTAGGTCTTTCCTTTTATTGTTGTATAGTACTCAGTTGTATAGGTATAGCACCAAATGTTTATTCATTTTCCCATTGATGGTCATTTGGTGTTTCCCATTTTCCCATTTTTGACTATTATAAATAAAACTTATAGTAGTATTGATATTGAGCAAGAAGACCTAACTATCCTGAATATATACGTACCCAACACAGGAGCACCCAGATTCATAAAGCATATTCTTAGAGACCTAAAAAAAAGACATAGACTCCCACTGTTAATGTTAATGACCTTTTGTGCTTGATGAGTTGGATTTCTCTTGCTGCCTTTAGAATTGTCTGGCTTTGTTTCGTAACAATAATTTTGTTCACCTCTCTTTGAGTTGAGCTTTTTTAGAGTTTGTTGACCTCCTTGGATATGCAGATAAATATTTTTCATCAAAATTGAGAATTATTTGTCCATTATTTAAATATTGTTTTGAGTCTATATCTTCTTTTATTCTGGGATTCTATTGTGCATACACTTTATAGTGTTCCACAGGTCTCTAAACTCTATATCTCTTTATTGTTTTAATGTTCCTAAGACTGGTTAAACTCAATTGACCAAGCTTCAAGATTGCTGATTCTTTCTTCTACCACCTCAAATATATTGTTGAACCCCTGTAGTAAATTTTCATTTCAGTTATTGAAATTTCCAACTTCAACATTTCCATCTGTCCCTTTTTATAATTTAAATTTCTTTATTGGCATTCTCAAATTGTTGTCATATTTTCCTATAATTCTTTGACATCGTTTCCTTGAAATCTTTGTAAATATGTATAATGCTGACTTAAAATACTTTTCTAAAAATTCCAGCACTTATGGTTCCTTAGGGAAATTGTCTATTGTCTTTTATTTTGTCCTGTATATGGGCCAAATTTTTCTGTTTCTTTGCATGTCTGCACATTTTAAATGATAATGTGGCAACTGTGGAAATTAAGGATCCCATGTCCTGGGTTTTATGTTGCTATTTGTTATGTTATTGTTGTTGTCAATTGTTTGTTTAATAAATTCCATGAACAACTTCTGTAATTGAGAGGTGAGGCCAGCTGGGCATCCTGAGCCAAGTGGGGACTTAGGGAACTTTCCTGTCTTACAAGAGGATTGTAAAATGCACCAGTCAGCGCTCTGTAAAACGCACCAATCAGCACTCTGTAAAACGCACCAATCAGTGCTCTGTAAAATGCACCAATCAGCACTCTGTAAAACACACCAATCAGCAGGATTCTAAAAGTAGCCAATCGCAGGGAGGAATGAAAAAAAGGGCACTCTGATAGGACAGAAATGGAATATGGGAGGGGACAATAAAGGAATAAAAGCTAGCCACCCCAGCCAGCAGCCGCAACCTGCTGTGGTCACCTTCCACGGTGTGGAAGCTTTGTTTTTCACTCTTCACAATAAACCTTGCTACTGCCCACTCTTTGGGTCCGTGCCATCTTTAAGAGCTGTAACATTCACCATGAAGGTCCACGGCTTCATTCTTGAAGTCAGCGAGATCAGGAACCCACTGGCAGGAACCAACTCCAGACACATAATGACTGTATTCATTATTGCATATGGCCAATGAAATCTCTTTTTGATTAGCTTAGTGGCCTGCTAACGACTGGAGAGAGATTTCTTAAATAACCTGAAGCAGTTTCTCACACCCTTTGCTGGAGGGCTGTGTGTGTTTGTTGGGACATGCTTTAAATGATCAAGGAGTTTACAAGGCTCTCTTAGCCTTCACTTCCTGTTTTTACAGAGGCCTCCAGCTCAGACAGAAATGAGAAATTGGTGCCCTCTCAGGTCTTTCTGCACATGTGTCTTGGGTAAGTATTTTTGTCTGTCTCTTTTCTCCCAATGATGTTACCACCTCAGATAATATGTTCAGCAACAATGCTGAGCAATTGTCATGAACATTTTTCAACAAAATTTCTGGGGATAGGGCTTTCATCACTGAGCAAGTCCTCAGGTCAAATGAAAGGAAGCAGTAAGAATAGGAATTTTCCAGGTAGCTGCTAGACAAGTCAAACTATTATAATTCTCTTTTGTTTGGGCTTGGAGGGATCTCCAAACCCATTTGGTTTTCTGCAGGTGATGTTAGGGTTTTTTTTGTTTTTTGTTTGTTTTTTGTTTTTTGTTTTTAGTAGAGACAGGGTTTCGCCATGTTGGCCAGGCTGGTCTTGAACTCCTGACCTCAAGTGATTGGCCCACCTCGGCCTCCCAAAGTGCTGAGATTACAGGCATGAGCCCCTGCACCCGGCCAGGTGGTGGTGGTTGTTTTTTTTTATAAGATCCAAAGGAAATAAATCAAAAGTGAGGAGTTCAGGAAAACACACTCTCTCTAGATTGCTTTTATGGGTTACTATTATCAAAAACAATTATCAAAGAGGTAGGTGATGACCTATGGAAGTTATCAATGAATGACTTATGAATTTCATAAAATATTTTGAATTTTATTTTCAGTTAAAAGAAAATTTATAGAAACCTTAAATTCAAATTTTCTATACATTAAAAAATAGAGAAAATTTATGTTTCCAGGGCTTATTTCTTTTATTGAAAAATTTAAAATCTTATTATATCTTTACAAATTAAATATTTGGAATTGGCTAGTGATAAATGATTCAATATTACTTGTTAAAACAGACATTTTTTCATTGTCGATAAATTACATTAAATCTTTCTAATTTTTTAATTACAATCTCATTAACATAGATGTGTAAAAATGATTTCTCCTCACTGAATGCTATTAAAACAAAACGTGGAAATAGTTTAGCTACACATCATCTTCCCTTGTGGATACCATTGTCTTCAGTCTGTCCAAGATTAGATATTGCGCAAGAAGCAAGTTCATTTGTATTACAATACTTTATAGATACACACAGTGTTTCTTCAGAGTATATATATATATAACTTAGTTCAAAGTATCTATATATAAGTATATGTATATACTTAATATGAGGAAACCATTATTTCATTTATAACTTTTGTTTCATTATAATGGCAGAATGACAACCTTTCAAGTATAATGGTGGTTTGCCACATTACCTATCTTTGTGTTCTCGTGCTGCCTTTGTGCTCTTGTGCTCTTTCAGTGAATGCTATTTACAGTTTTCTGTTACATTTTACTGATTATATTTATTAAAATGCAATTTTCTTTGTGGACTCCTATAATTTAAAATGTGCTTATAATTTGTATATCTGTGGCTTTTCAACTTATTTGATTCTAGTAATATTTTTGTATTACTAGAACTACTAGTATTATTTTGATAATAAAAATAAAACTGATTGGAAATTTAAACACATTTGTTAAATGGCTGCTTATCACAGATGTGTAAACAATAATGCGTAAGAGGTCTCCTGGTCTGTCCCTTCTCTTTCCAATGTCTTTCTCAGAAAATAAGAAAGCAAGAATGTGCCCACCTGAAACCAACCACTCTCCTCTGCTAAACAAGGCTGCTTGGAACTGATACCCTTGATTTTCTATCAAAAAATTCTCAGACCATTTGCGGGGCCTCTACCAGCCTCCTTCCTAGATATGACTTCATGGGGGCAAATCATACTCATGATTGTGTACCCCTTACCTGACAGTGATCAAATGGTAGACATTTCAGGGAGTGTTAACAGAGCAACTATTTATGAACTAGGACAGCTATATTGTTCAATGTAGCTGTGTATCTGGACATCCAGATCACTTAAAAAATACAGTTGTCAGGGGAGAAAAATAGAATTTGTTTTATTTAACAGCTTCTTAGCTTTCTTATAATTTTAATATATTCATACATATGGAATGTGTGCTTCCATTATACTCTCTTGCGTTTGTCCCAGGAAATGGTTGGGGTAGATTTGACTGTCACCATTATGGTCAATATTCATTGATTGATTCATTCACTCAATAAATATTTAATTCCTACCATGTGTCAAGCACTTTATTTGGTATTGATAATACAGCAGAAAAACAACAGCAGAGTCCTATATCTCACTGACTTCATATTTCTGAGGAAAAACAACATGTAATATTTAATTAATTTGAACATTCCCTTATTAAATGGCACAGCAGTTCCATTTCTAGAGATATTCTCCAGATAATGTCTTACATCTTTACATGAAAATATGCAAAAACATGTTTGTATCAAAAAATGGAACTAACCCAAAATCCATTTGCAAGAGATTTATTGTATACTGTGCTATATTTATAAGTGCAATACTATAAAGCACTGTAAACCCCCCCCAGGAACTCAGTCTACATGTATAAGTAAGGATTATATTTTTAATAAAATCAGTGACATAATTTCAGAATATGTATTTATTATAATATTTGGACAGCATTTTAAAGCATGCATAGCTCTTAGGATAGATATAAATGGAATTTATAAATGATAGATATAAATGGGATTTACAAAATCATGGAAATAATAAACCTCCATTCAACTGAACATTTATTCCATCAGGTAGATGCTGTAATAAGGTTTGATAAAAGATTGCACTGAAGGGTCCAAATATTTTTATTTCATGTTAATTTTTAAGTTGTATGTTGATTATACAGGTGCCCATTATACTATTCTTTACATCTCTTCACCGGTCTCAAAGTTTTTTACAATAAGTTAGAAAAGAATAAAGATTGTCAAGCAATGATATATTGGCTTCCATCATTGTGGACTATGGACTTACACCAACAGGACTTGTTAGCTCATGTATTTGAACAGATGATTATGATGATTGGGTTTATGAAGCCATAAGATTTTTCTTTTTCCAAGGGTGAAATAACAGTGGTGGTACAACTCTGTTCTGATGAGGGCAAGGCCATGTTGATGGGCCTGGAAGTGTGTGGATGAAATGCAAATGAGTAATTTTAAAGAAGAATGCTAAGAGGCCAGATGAATTTCTACTTGCTATTCCTAGTTATCTCTTTCTCTTTCTCTCTCCTACTCTCTCTCTTTGTCTCTGTCTTTCTGTATCTCATTTCTATCCTTATTTCCTTCCCACTCATTCTGTTTTAGAAAGATAAAGGAATAATCTTTTGGAAGAAAAATGATACCAACTTCTGAGCAGCACCTATAACAAATACAAAGTAGTAAATCTAAAAACAAAGGAAAGTTTCCATGAAATAAGTCATTCAGTAACAAGTTAGAAGATGTTTATTTGTTTAGAATAGCAGAGTTCCAACAGGCACTGGAAAAATTTAGATGGGCAGAAATCAATGCTGGGGAGGGTACATGTCAGGGAACTGAAGCTCGGGCTTCATTCTGCAAGAATTTTGGAAAAGGTAGGCACTTTTTAACAATGTACACCATAGAGACTTAAAACATATTGTTTATAAGATTTTTGGTGTTCAAAAGACTTTGTTCCTTAGGTGGAGAATAGAGATGTGTCTTAAATATCTATTATAACCTCTATGGTTCATGCTATGTCATCTTGCAGCAAATGTTCAATAATTCTTATTTCAGAAGTACATAACTGTGGAATGTTTTAGTAAAATACATTGAAAAGACCATTCTTTGTTAAAGAGCACTAAGGTGTATAAAAGGCAGTAATAAATTATAGTTTCAAAATATTCCACAGGGGTTGGAGAGTTCGCAAAGAACTAAAAATAGAATTGCCATTCAACCCAGCAATCCCATTAGTGGGTGTATACCCAAAGGAAAATAAATTGTTCTATGAAAAAGACACTTGCACTGTGTGTTCATTGCAGCACTATTCATAATAGCAAATACATGGAATCAACCTTGGTGCTTATCAACGATTGATTGGATAAAGAAAATATGGTACACATACGACATGGAATATTACACAGTCATAAAACAGAATGAAATCATGTTCTTTGCAGCAACATGGATGAGGGTACAGGCCATTATTTTAAACAAATACATGCAGAAGTAGAAAACCAAATACCACATATTCTCACAGTGGGAGTTAAACATTGGGTGCACATGGATACCAAGATGGGAACAATAGACACTAGGATTCCAAAAGGGGAGGAAAGGCAGGCATTGAAAAACTACATCTCAGCTACTCTGCTCACTACTTGGGTGATGGTATCATTAGAAACTCAAATATCAGCATTATACAATATACCCATGACACAAACCTGCACATGTACTCCTTGAATCCAAAACTAAAAGGAAAAATTTTACAGGACTACGATTCTATTCCAATGTTAATTAATGTGAAGTCTACCCTGTTTCAAAAAATATATAAATAAAATAAAATAAAATAAAACAATAAAAATCACTTGAGATATTATCACGTATACAAGCCAAGATACAGGTCATCAGTATCTCAAATGAAAAAGTTGTAATTTAATGATTCATGTGTTCATTCCATCAATATTTTTACAAACATATTTATTGAATCTTCTATGTATGATAATATATTTTTTAAAAGATTTAAACATATTTGACAGATGAGAGGAGATAAGAGACCAAATTACCAAGTTTGTTAGTCTTCAACTCTGTGAGATTTGATAGATGATTGTTTTTGTTTACATTTATTTTATTTCTATAACACCATTCCATAATATGGTTAAATCCGTTATACATAGGATGTACAAAAATGAATTTTTAGCATTTTTTATGTTATAACAAATAAGTGCTCAAGGAGTTGCTTTCTGATATTATAGACATGTGTTTGTGTTTAACTATAGCCCCCATTATATTGCTGAACCAGCGCCCCAATCCACTTTTATTTATTCACAAAGTATCAATCTAAGTTTGCTTTCTTATGAGAATTGTTCAGATAAAATTTTTATTTCAATACTTCAGAATAGTCTGACATCTTTATTCCTTATTCATTATGTGTCACATAGCTTGTTTTCTGACATTCATCTTGTTCTCTTTTGTCTAGAGTAAACGTATTTTAAAAGTACATTTCAGATTCATTGAGGTCAGTTGCCTTTGGCAGAAATGTTTCCTTACTCTGGTTTACAAAACTCACTCAATGGTTTTTAACATAATTTTCCTTTATTGTCCTTCCACAAAATTTTTCATATTTTGTACTACAAGCTGTGTGCTTTTTGAAAATTTCAGAGTTTATTTTGAACCTACCTTATATTTATCAAGGTTTATGATAAATATTTATAACTAGGTATGTGACCAAATTACATTACCACTTCAGAAGGCATTATTTTCCTGCCCACACAGAATATTCACATACACGTATACATAAACATATGAATTCAAACTATTTCTATCTGCATCCCAATAAATGCACTGTATTCATTCTATGTGATTTTGTTCATTGCGCTTCAGTCTTGATGATTTCCTACTGTGTGCGAAAAAGCCTACTTTGGCGCTGTTAGATTGTGGTATTTACGCCAACCTACATTCCAAAAACAAATGCATATGAGAACTCCAGATGAAAATCTTTTTGTTTATCTGCTGTACTACTGAGATATTATAGTACCAAACATGTGGATAGACTTTAGGAGTCATCAGGACCACACTGTTATTTCTGCCCGAATCACCCTGTGACATTGTGCCTATCCTTCTGTAGTCATTCATTTTTCGTTTGAATCTATTTAGGTTACAGAATCTATTACTTTCTCAAAGCAGAATGTTACATTTCTGGACAGCTCTGCTATTAAGCCAGGTCATGAATTTCTTAAACCCATTAATTTGTCCTAATATAGGAAGAACTATTTGATTTTATTTCTCCATGAGAGCTATGTGAATTCCTGAAGCCAGTGGTCTTACCATCCTTTGTATCTTTTCTAAGTCACATGTACCCATTTTAAGTCATTTTTCAAACTCAGGTCAGGTTATTTCTATCAACACTCCTTAGATTCTTCTATATCATTTGTGTTTATACCCAGGATAGGTGTCTCTTTTGTTCCTAACTATCTTGGAATGAAAAATAAATGCACAACATGTTATAATAATATTTATATTCCATGTGTCCATTTTAGTTTCCATCAGCCCTCTGTACTGCGCTCTTCTATGTAATTATGTTTCATCTTGTCTCTTTTTTCCTATAATATTGTAAATACCCTTGAAGATAAGCACTCTGATTGATTTATGTTTGTATTCCCGGTGTATCAGAAATTGTGCTTTGCAAATCAGAGATACTCCATTCATGCCTCTGAAGCAACATTGATAAGTACACTTACACTTTCCGTAAGAATGAGGTGATATCATACTACTAAGCTTTGAGTTACTGATCAGAGCTCATTAAATAATTTGATAATTTTGTAATTGAAAATTTTGGAAGATTAAAAGAAAACATTACACTCTCTGTGTCTCTGTTATGATAGACTTTTCAGAGTAAACTTGTGTTGAGTATTAGCCTGAGGTATTGAATCACACCAGTTGCCAGAAACTATCAGTCTATTCTAATAAAATAGTTGAGTATGCGTTTATAACTTCAATTTGTAAACAATATGTTTCTAGTTTGCCTGATTAAAGATGCAATAGCTCAATTGGCTTTTTTTTTTTACTAATGGAAATAAAGTCTTCTATTTGGATTTACTTTAAAACAAACTTGGGTTTTATTTACATGTCATCTTTATATGACACCTTCTTGTCATATTTAAGTACTACCTCTACTGATACTTTATTAGTTTTTTTTTTAAAACTGAAACTAAATTAACTTACTTTTCAAAGTTAGGTTCATTCCAAAATAATGTTTTCATGAAATCATGAGTTTTCTATGCCAATTATATTTATTTTAATATGTATTAAAATTGATGTTATTTAATATGTATTAAAATTGATACGTTATTAAAAAATTTTAAGTGCTCTTTTATGTATTACATAAAAATAATCTCACATATTATCACTGATACACACGTGTAAGATAATGTGTGGGAAGATTATTCTTATCACTTCCCAATGTAATTGTAGCTCAAACCTGAGGTTTATAATGCCTTCTTTTATAAAGAGAGATATACTAGGAGCTACAAAAATTGGTTGCAGGCACTTAATGCTTATTCAGAGATGGTGGCCTACAGTCTGGTAATCTAAATATTACACAAGCAGAAGCAATGAAAGTAATTTTGAGTTGTGGTCTGGAATAGAGTGTTCTGTCTGCTACCTAGGGGAGCATTAGTCCAGTACACATTAACCAAAGAAGCAATACATCCAGCAACCAGCTGAATTGTTTAATGAAAGACTCATTTCTTTTCCTCTCATCTGCCTCCAAGCCTCCTCCAATACTAAAGCAATTTAACTTAAAACAATATAGAGTTAATCTATGACCAGATCCAGCTGGCAACCTTTCTTCCAGGATTAGAGGGGAAAGGAATAGAGGTGCATTGCATATCCTCTTCCTTTCTTCATGTACTTGAAGGACAAGTTGATCAGCAATGAGGGGAGGGGGACAGGGGACGTTTTGAGAACCAGAAAAGTATTTAGAGCTTAAAACTGAATAAAATTTTAGTAACTGAAGTGGACAGGAAATTATGGGCTATGATCTAGATATAATTAAATGATCCTCTGCCTATTGACGAAAAAATAGGTTGACATGAAACTGTTACAGAAAAAGAATGGGGGAAAAGATAATCCCGTAATCATACCCCATCAAGTTGAGTTAACTGGGTAAATCCATTGCATAAATCCACTATGTTGATTATAGCAAAGTGGAAAATGAATTAAGGACGCAGGGTTGAAACATAGGTTTTGGTAATTCAGTACATTTGGTATATTAGTCCATTTCACACTGCTATAAGGATACTACCTGAACTGGGTAATTTATAAAGAAAAAAAGGCTTAGTTGACTCACAGTTCTGCATGGCTGGGGAGTGCTCAGGAAACTTATAATCATGGTGGAAGCTGAAGGGAAAAGAAGACACATATTCTCATGGTGGCAGGAGAGAGAGAGCACACAGGGGAAGTGCCAGACAGTTATCAAGCAACCAGATCTCATGAGAACTCACTATCATGAGAACAGCATGGGGAAAACTGCCTCCATGATCCAATCACCTCCAACCAGATCCCTCCCCGAACACATGGGGATTTCAATTTAGATTACAATTCATGGTGAAATTTGGGTAGGGACATTTTCAAACCATATTATTCTGCCCTTGGCCCCTCCCAAATCTCATGTCCTTTTCACATTTCAGAACCAATCATGCCTTCCCAACAGTCCCTGAAATTCTTAACTCATTTCAGCATTAACTCAAAAGTCCAAGTCCAGAGTCTTATCTGATACAAGGCAAGTCCTTTCTGCCTATGAGCCTATAAAATCAAAAGCCAGTTAGTTACTTCCAAGATACAATGTGGATACAGGCCCAAAGCAAGTCTGAAAGCCAACAGGGTAGTCATTAAACATTAAGACTCCAAAATAACCTCTGTTGAATCCATGTTTCGCACTGAACGTGTGCTCATGCTAGAGGTGGGCTCCCAAGGCCATGGGCATCTCTGCCCCTGTGGCTTTGCAGGGTACAGCCTCTGCAGCTACTTTCACAGGCTAGTGTTGAGAGTCTGTGGCTTTTACAGGAACATAGTGCAAGCTGTCAGTCAATCTTATTCCGGGGTCTGGAGGGCAGTGGTTCTCTTCTCACAGCTCCACTGGACAGTGAGAACTCTGTATGGAGGTTCCAACCCCACATTTTCTTTCCACATTGCCCTAGTAGAGGTTCTCCATGAGGGCTCTGCCCCTGCAGTAGACTTCTACCTGGACATCTAGGCATTTCCATACATCCTCTGAAATCTAGGCAGAGGCTCTCAAGCTCAACTCTTCTCTTCTGTGCACCTGCAGGCCCAACACCACATGGAAGCTGCCAATGCTTGGGGCTTGCACCCTGTGAAGCAATCACTTGAGCTGTACCTTGGCCCCTTTTAGCCATGGCTGGAGCTGGAGTGGCTGGAACATGAGGTACCAAGTCCCTAGGCTGCACACGGTAATGGGGGGCCCTGGGCCCAGCCCAAGAAACCATTTTTCCTTCCTAGGCCTCTGGGCCTATAATGGGAGGGGCTGCTGTGAAGACACCCTGGAGATACTTTTCCCATTGTATTGGCAATTAACATTCAGTGTCTCATTACTTATGCAAATGTATGTGGCTGACTTGAATTTCTCCCCAGAAAATGGGTTTTTCTTTTCTACCACATGGTTAGGCTGCAAATTTCCCAAACTTTTATGCTCTACTTCCCCTTTAGACATATTTCATACCAACTCTTTGTGACTGCATATAGCTGTATACTGTTAGGAGCACTCAGAGCATATAGCTGTATACTGTTAGGAGCACCCAGACCACATCTTGAACACTTTGCTGCTTAGAAATTTCTTCTCCACTCCTATGATCCAATCACCTCCTGCCAGGTCCTTCCCTCAACACATGGGGATTACAATTTGGATTACAATTCTAGATGAGATTTGGGTGGGGACACAGCCCAGCCATATTACTTGGATTTATATTTTGAGAATTCTACTTAATTCATTTAAGTATAAATACCTAAATTAGATGGGGTGGGGCTGTTCGTGGTGATGAGGAACAAATAACAAAATAGATGGAAAATACAACAAAATATCTGATATATATTAGGAACTCTATGACAACAATTATTTTATTCTCATTTTTATGTTTTTTATAGCAAATCACAAAGTTTTTATCCCTCATTATCTTTGCATAGATGACAATGTACTCCTTTAATCCAAAACAAACATCAGCAAAGTTTCTTCTGTTCTTCTCGTGCCTTACTTGGTGCTGAGCTACAAAAATGACTTGAACATGTCTCTTGAAATTACACATTTAATATTGGAGTGGAGAAAAATTTTGCCAAATGAATTGTATTCATTGTGATCAAATTGAGAACTAACTTAGGGATATTTGGTAAGGTACGAATATGAGTTACTTCTAGAAAATACTTTTTAGATAATTTACCATCATAAATGGGCAGATTTAGATGGGGGTTAATTTACCTCATATTTGTTCTTTCCAGTTATGTAGTAGCAAATCTACACCAAATTCTGCTACACAAATATTTATTAGGTAGTACATGCAAAAATGGTCATATAATCCACTCTATAGATTCAATTCTATCTCATATATATGCCATTTTAAGTAACCAATCAGACTAAATGAAAGATTTAGAAGAGGCAAATAAAGAATACCCTGGATGCAGAATTCTGTTAACAACTGGAAGCCTGTTAGCACAGGTCAGTTGAAAAATTCAACATCAGGCATTATCCTGGAAGGAAAATAATATGAAAGATTCTTATGCCTCCCTTTTTCTAAGGGTGGTGGGTATCTCCAAAACATTTTGGTCAATTTCCTAAAATATTTTTGAGACACTTTCCTTTTTACCCAATGAGAGACCATTTCTGTAATCAATGATACTAGCAGTAATATTGATGGGAAATAAAAACAACTACTTCTAATAACCACTCTTTGGACTTTCTGATTAAATGCTACCTCACCCCACTTAGCCATGACGTCCTGATTAGTGTATCTGACTCCCTCAAGAATATAGCTTAAATTAAACTAAAACATATATAATGCAGTATTTTCTATGTTAAAGTGTTTTTAGTTAAATTGCAGACATCATAACAGACAGTCCTCATATAAGTATGGAATAAATATTAGAAAGTTACAAATGGCTGAGCTGAATCAATTGTATACTGCAAGACTAATGTAATCCATTTTGTTATCCAAATATCACAACCAGATGATAAAACTGAGAATAGGCACTTAACCTCTCTGAAGTCATACATTTGTTAACTGAAGAGCTGTGTCAATGTGCGTGTGATCTTACAAAATTTCATCATCACTCAACTTATGAACAGAGACTCTAAAATTGAGCAATTTTTGCATGTTTCTTTTTACTTTTTTACTCTAGTGCATACTGAAAGCCTTGCTTGTATAACTAGATTTTGGATTAAGAGGCCCACTATAATTTTAAGGAAGATTAAACAATAAGACTAAATTTAATTCAGAATTAGTTACTTTAGTTGACAGTATATATTTTAAAAATGCTTTTCAAAATTTAATGATCAGCTAGTATGTTTTCTTGATTATAAGATGTGATTGATTCATTAAGAAAAAATGTTCTAATATAAAAATTCTGTATTCCTTTAAGCTGGAAGAGGTTTGTTTGTTTGTTTTTGGCAGAGACATTTGTTCAAATTAAGTTGCTCAAACTTGTGTAGATAATATAATTTATTCCTCTGAGATTAGTGTTTGCTAATATATTGTATAGACCTTTATAATGCAGAATATAAGATCATAAATTCATATATTTTAATTCATCCATGATTTAAATAAAAGATGAAGTGAAACTAAACATTTTAAGAGTGGAAAACTTGACCTATTAGCACAAAATTTTCTTTATACGAAATAATGAAAACCTATTATGACTTGAGATGTTAATAGAAACATACACACACACACAGAATCAGGAACCACTTAATGACAGGGATATGCTCTGATAAATACATTATTACACAATTTATCATTGTGTGAATGTCTTACAATATACTTATCCAAACCTAGACAGTATAGCCTACTACACACCTAGGCTATACAGTGTAGCCTATTGTTCCTAGGCTACAACTCTGTACAGCACATTACTCTACTGAATACTGTAGGTAATTAGAACAAAATGGTAAATATTTGTGTATCTAAACATATATAAACATAGAAAAGATACAGTAACAATGTAGTATAAATGATAAAAAATGGCACTCCTTTATGGGGCACATACCACAAATGGAACTTGCGAGACTGGGAGTTGCTCTGAGTGATCAATGAGTGAGTGGTGCATGATGTGAAGGCCCAGGACATTACTGTCCATTACTGTAGATCTTGTAAACAGCATACACCTAAGCTACACTAAACTGATAAAATATATTGTCTTCATCAATAAAGTAACCTTTGATTAATGTAAAATTTTACTTTGTAAACTTTTTAAAAACTTTCTATAATAACACTTAGCTAAAAAACAAACACATCATACAACTTTACAAAAATGTTTTCTTTCTTTGTATCCTTATTCTATAAGTGCTCTTCTAATTATGTTTCTTCTTTTTTAACTTCATAAATTTTAAAAACTAAGTCATGAATACATATATTAGCCCAGCCTTACACAGAGTCAAGATCATGGATATCATTGTCCTCCACCTTCACATCTTGTTCCACTGGAAGCTCTTTAGGACAATAACATGCATGGAGCTGCCGTCCCCTATGATAATGCCTTCTTCTAGAAAACTGCCTGATTTTGTTTTACAGTCAACTCTTCATATATATGTGTGTGTGTGTACACATATATAAAATTGTATATAAATGTCTTTATTTATAATTTAATTATATATACACATTAATTTTTCAGCTCCATTATAATCTTAGGAGACCACTACTGTGTATGCACTCCATTGTTTACTGAAATGTTATGTGGCAGAATAGTCTGTTTATTTATATATATTAATATATTTATATATATATATGAAGTTACGTAAGTAGAAAGAATGCACACTAAAATGCTGATAAAAAGTATAGTAAAGTAAATTGGTAAATGTGTAAGCCAGTAACATAGTCATTTATTGTAATTATTAAGTATTATGTATTATGTATAATTATATATGCTATACTGTACTTTTACACCCCTAGAAGCACAATTTGTTTATACCAGCATCACAACAAACGCATGAGCAGCTACATCTTCACTAAGCAATAGAAAATTTTCAGCTCCATATAATCTTATGGGACTCCTGCTGTATATGCCGTCTGTTGTTAACTGAAATGTTATGTGGAACATGACTCTGTGTGTGTATACGCTGTGTGTGTGTGAATGTACATGTATATATATGTATATGACTGTATATATAGAAATATAAACTTGTAGAATCACTTTTTAAACTTGCCTTTAATTTCATCTTGAAAAATTATAAATGACTTAGACATCAATATTATTCAGACTTTTAAACCAGGTGGAGATATTTTAGATCTGATATCACTAACCCATTAATAATCACTTCCTGCACCTTAGCAATTTCTTTTCTCTTGGGTTCTAAAACAAACACTTTATGCATTTTATCTGCATCTTTTTGATTTCTGCAGTCTTCAATTAGACCATCTACAATCTATGGGAATAAACCAAACTTGTTTAGCTACATACAGTTTAGATTATTTGGATAGTGTTACAAGAAAAAGTAAACAAATTAAATTTAATAGAGTTTAATTTAGCAGAGAATGATCATATGGTTTGGCTGTGTTCCCAGCCAAATCTCATCTTGAATTGTAGCTCTCACAATTCCCACATGTCATGGGAGGATCCTGGTGGTAAGTCATTGAATTATGGGATCGGGTCTTCCCTGCGCCATTCTCATGATAGTGAATGAGTCTCATGAGATCTGATGATTTTTAAAAATGGGAGTTTCCCTGCACAAGCTCTCTTCTCTTGTCTGCTGCCGTGTGAGATGTGCTTTTCACCTTCCACCATGATTGTGAGGCCTCCCAAGCCACATGGAGCTGTAAGTGCAATAACCCTCTTTCTTTTATAAATTGCCCAGTCTAAGGTAGGTCTTTATTAGCAGCGTGAAAACAAACTAATACAGTAAATTGGTACCAGTAGATTGGGGCGCTGCTGATAAGATACCTGAAAATGTGGAAGCAACTTTGGAGCTGGGTAACAGTCAGAGGTTGGAACAGTTTGGAGGGCTCAGAAGAATACAGGAAAATATGGGAAAGTTTGGAACTTCTAGAGACTTGTTGAATGGCTTTGCCCAAAATGCTGATTGTGGTATCGACAATAAAGTCCAGGCTGAGGTGGTCTCAGATGAAATCAGGAACTTGTTAGGAACTGGAGCAAAGGTGACACTTGTTATGTTTTAGCAAAGAGACTGGCAGCATTTTGCCTCTGCCCTAGAGATTTGTGAAACTTTGAACTTAAGGGAGATGATTTAGGTTATCAAGCGGAAGAAATTTCTAAGCAGCAAAGAATCCAAGAGGTGAATTGGGTGCTGTTAAAGGCATTCAGTTTTATAAGGGAAGCAGAGCATAAAAGTTTGGAAAATTTGCAACCTGACAATGCCATAGAAAAGAAAATCCCATTTTCTGGGGAGAAATTCAAGCTAGCTGCAGAAATTAGCATAAGTAATGAGGAGCTGAATGTTAATCCCCAAGTCAATGGGGAAATGTCTCCAGGGCATGTCAGAGGTCTTCACAGCAGCCCATCCCATCACAGGCCCAGAGTCCTAGGAGGAAAAATTATTTTTGGGGGGCTGGGCCCAGGGTCCCTGTGCTGTGTGCAGCCTGGGGACTTGGTGCCTTGTGTCCCAGCCACTCCAGCCATGGCTGAAAGGAGCCAACATAGAGCTCAGACCATGGCTTCAGTGAGTGCAAGCCTCAAGTATTGGCAGCTTCCACATAGTGTTGAGTCTGCTAGTGCACAGAAGTCAAGAATTGGGGTTTGGGTACCTCCACCTAGATTTCAAAGGATGTGTGGAAACACCTGGATGTCCAGACAGAAGTTTGCCACAGGAGCAGGGCTCTCATGGAGAACCTCTGTTAGGGCAGTGCAGAAGGGAAATGTGGAGTTGGAGCCCTGACAAAGACTCCCTACTGGGGCACTGTCTAATGCAGCTGTGAGAAGAGGGCCTCTGTCCTCCAGACCCTGCAATGGTAGATCCACTGACAGCTTGCATCATGTGCCTGGAAAAGCCACTGACACTCAATGCCTGCTTGTGAAAGCAGCCAGGAGGGAGGCTGTACCCTGCAAAGCCACAGGGGCGGAGCTGCCCAAGAACATGGAAACCCACCTCTTGCATCAGCATGACCTGCATGTGAGACATAGAGTCAAAGGAGATCATTTTGGAGCTTTAAGATTTCACTGCCCTGATAGATTTCAGACTTGCATGGGGCCTGTAGTTCATTTGCTTTGGCCAATTTTTTTTTTTTACATTTGGAATGGGTGTATTTACCCAATGATTATATCCCTGTTGTAACTAGGAAGTAACTAACTTGCCTTTGATTGTACAGGTTCATAGGTGTAAGGGACTTGCCTTGTCTCAGATGAGACTTTGGACTGTGGACTTGTGGGTTAATGCTGAAATTAGTTAAGACTTTGGGGGACTGTTGGGAAGGCATGATTGGTTTTGAAATGTGAGGACATGAGATTTGGAAAGGGCCACGGCTGGAATGATATGGTTTGGCTGTGTCCCCACCCAAATCTCATCTTGAATAGTAACTCCCACAATTCCCACATATTTGGGAAGAACCCAGTGGGAGGTGATTGAATTATGGGGGCAGGTCTTTCCTATGCTGTTCTTGTGATATTGAATGAGTCTCATGAGATCTGATGGTTTAAAAATGGGAGTTTCCCTGCACAAGCTCTCTCCTCTTGTCTACTGCCATGTGAAATGTGCCTTTCATCTTCCATCATGAATGTGATGCCTCCCCAGCCTGTGGAACTGTAAGCCCAATAAATCTCTTTCTTTTGTAAATTGCCTAGTCTCAGGTATGTCTTTATCAGCAGCATGAAAATGAACTAATACAATGATTTGTGAATCAGGCAGCCCTGGAAACCACCATAGGTTTAGAGTGACTCTGAGGCTGCCACATGGTTGGATAACATTTATAGACAGAAGGAAAGTGACATATAAAAAGGAAAAGTGGGATATAGAAATAATTGGATTGGTTATAGCTCAGCATCTGTCTTATTTGAAACCTGGTTTAAACAGTTGACTTCCTACGATTGGATAAAACCCTGGGATTGGTATAAGAGTATGTTATAGTCTGTTTATGTATCTATTTAGGTTATATCTTGTTGCGTATGGAGAAATCTTTAGGCAGAACTTAAAATATGTAAGGAGGCAATGTTAGGCTAAATTAAAATTTAACAATTTTTCCCTTTTGGTCAACCTCTCAATTTTGAAAGATTAACTAAAACTTTAGGCATTGATGTCACTCTGTCACCATCATACTGGACATATTTGGTCTCAACTCTCACCAGGAAACAACAAAACAGTAGGTTTTGTTACGTGGAAACAAAGGAACAGAACAACAACAAAAACTGATTGGTTATTTCAGGTTACTTTTTTTGAGGGTTAGCACTGAGGTGACTTCCTTATTATGTTGGAACCTTGTATTACTAGACAGAATAAAAAAAAACTAGTAAGTTTTAGATTTGTCTTTTGAAGTTTCAGCTTGATTACATCAAAATTCATAAGTGTTTCCATTTTAGTTTGGTTTGGTCTGTTGGAGCCTAGTGCAAGAAATCAGTCAAGAGCAATGGTCTCTTGTAATTTTATTTGACAATAGACAGTGATTGCCTTCAAAATATTTTGAGGTAGATTGCTATTGTACCATATAAGAAGACTGAAATAAAAGCAAGTCTCAGAAGGAATTTTGCCTCAATATGTAGCACTTTATTGAACAAACATCTGTTTGTCCTCTATTTTTTGGAATCATAGACCACCACCTATCAGAAAGGTGTACTTAAGTCAGAAAGGAGAACATTTACAAGACAAATTCAATCAATTATATTTATGTTGTGAAACAGGAAACAAGAAAACCTCTTAAATAAGTAGCTAGACCCAGGAACATTTAAGTCTCAAGCCTTCAGAGCTCACTCCCACAAGTAACTGTATAGGTTTCATAAGGATTTTTAAAATTGTTAAATTTATGTAACACTGAGAGTGTTACTGGAACAAAGAATACTTCTTGGATCTCACGTGAGAAAGAATTCAAGGCAAAAACCATAGAGTAAAGTGAAAGCAAGTTTATTAAGAAAGTAAAGGAATAAAGACTGGCTGCTCTGTAGGTAGAGCAGTCCAAAGGGCTTCTGGTTTGCAATTTTAATGGTTATTTTTTGATTATCTGCTAAACAAGGTGTAGATTATTCATGAGTTTTTCCAGTAAAGGAGTGCGCAATTCCCTGAACTGAGGGCTCCTTCCCTTTTTAGACCATATAGGGCAACTTCCTGATATTGCTGTGGCATTTATAAACTGTCATGACTTGGTGGGAGAGTTTTTTTTAGCATGCTAATGAATTAGAATTAACATATAATGAGCAGTGAGGATGACTAGAAGTCACTTTCTTCGACATCTTGGTTTTGGTCAGATTCTTTACTGCAACCTGTTTTATCAGCAAGGTCTTCTTGACCTGTATCTTATTCCGACCTCCTATCTCATCCCATGACTTAGAATGCCTAACCTCCTACAAATGCAACTCAGTAGGTCTCAGCCTCATTTTACCCAGCCCCTATTCAAGATGGAGTCACTCTGGTTCAAATGCCTCTGACAAGAGCATCACAAATTTATTTTTACAATCTACATTTATAAATTACATTAACCTCACAAACAGCTTCTTTCTAACACTTACTATGTTGATTAACAGGCTGCTCTATTTTACTAATAAAATTTTTCCTCATATTCTAAAGTGTAAATATTAATTGAGATAGAGATAACAGACAGCTTGTAGCATCCTTTTTTTAAATATGTATTTTATTATTCTAATACTAGGTGACCACTTCTGAACATTGTTTTTTTGTTTTGTTTTGTTTTTTGTTTTTTTTTAGAGAGGGTCTCACTGTTTTCCAGGCTGATCTTGAACTCCTGGGCTCAAGCAAAACTCCCATCTCAGCTTCCTGAGTAGCTGAGACTACAGGCTCTTTGTTCGTTAGTAACAGCTTCATCAAGATACATTCATATTATATACAATTTGCCCATTTAAAATGTATCATGCAGTGGTTTTTAGTATATTCATGACTTCGTGCCATGATTACCACAATGTATTTTAAAACATTTTCCTAACTTTAAAAAGTAATTCTATACCCATTAGCAGTTACTCCTCATTTCCTTCCACGCTTTCCCATCATTGTTTAGCTTCAGGCAACCACTTAGCTTCTTTGTGATTCTAATGATTTCCCTGTTTTGGTCATTTCATATGAGTAGAATAATACAACATGTGCTCTTTTGTGAGTGGCATATTTCACTTATAATAATGTTGTCAAGGTTCATCCATGTTGGAGTACGTATGGATACTCCATTTTTTTATTGCTAAATAATATTTTATTGTAGAAATAAGCCACTTTCTATTTATCCATTCATTATTTGATGGACGTTTGATGGTCATTTACACTTTTGGCTATTATGGCTATGAATATTTGTGTACAAGCTTCGTGTGGAAGTAATGTTTTATTTCTTTTGAGTATGTGCCTAGAAGTGGAATTGCTGGGCCACAGGGTATTATATGTTTAACATTTAGAGGAACTGCATTGCCCAAGTAGATGCACCATTTTACATTCCCACAAGTGGTGTATAAGGGCTCAAATTTCTCTACATCCTCACAACACTCTTTATTTTGTCTTTGGAATATAGTCATTCAACTGGTCGTGAAGTGATAGGATATGGTAGTTTAGATTTACATTTCCTTGGTAAATAATAATGTTGAACATTTTCCTGTGCTTATTGACCATTTTCATGTCTTCTTTTGAGAAATGACTATTCAGATAGCATGCTTATTTTTTCATTTTATTTATTATTATTTAATTCGAAGAATCCTTTATATATTCAAGATAAAAGTTCCTTAACAGAAATGATTTTCAAATATTTTCTCCCAATTAGTGGGTTGTCTTTTTACTTTCTTAATGGTGTTCTTTGAAGAACAAAAACATTTTAATTATGAGGAAGAATTTATATTTTTGTTGTAATTATTACTTATGTTTTAAAATCGTTCTAAGTAATCATTGCCTAATTCATGTTCAAGAAAATATATGTGTATGTTTTTTTCTAAGATTTTTGTAGTTTTTGGTCTTATTTTTTGACTTTTGATCTAATTTAAGTTAATTTTATATATGGTGCGGAGTAGGGATTGGAGTCATTGTTTTACATGTGTATATCTAGACTTGGCACCATTTGTTAAAAGAACAATTCATTCCGACATTGAATTGTCTTGAAACCTTTGCCAAAAATCATTCGAGCAAAATTTGAGGGTTTATTTATGGACTCTCAGTTGTGTTCCATTGATCTATTTGTCTACTCTTGTGTTAGTATTTTACTTTAGTTTTGTAGTCAGTTTTGAAATTAGAAAATGTGTTTTCTCCCAAATTTGTTCTTCTATCAAGAATATTTAAGCAATAGTGAGTTCTTGAGAATTTACGATACATTTTAGGATTATTTTTGAAACAACCTCATTGTCTGGCGTAACACCCAAGGTTTTTTGTACCATTGCCAAGGAAAACAAGGATGTGGACACACAAACTATCAGGCTGACAGCAGAAGTTTAATGTGTGAAAAAAAGAGAATAGCTCTCTGCTGCAGAGAGGGGTCCGAGAAAAATGGGTTGCCAGTCCATGGCAAAATGCAGGGGATTTTATAGATGAGCTGCTGAGGAGATGGTGTCTTATTTACATAGGGCATAAAAGACTGGTTGGAACAGGTGTGCCATTTGCATAGGGCATGAAAAACTGGTTAGGAGTAGGTGTCCAGTTTGCATAGGGCATGAATTTCTGGCTGCCTCCATTGTAATCTTTTACAATGTAGGTGGGTTCTCTGCCTGAGCTGTATCATGCTGCCCATTCCTTACTGTACACCTGGTAACAAAAAAAGAAAAAGGGATGATGCAGCCTTCATGTTGGACATTCCTGGCCCCCAGGTAGCCCTTTTCTATTGGCACACCTGCTGGCATTCCCTTGTGAAAACCTCCAGTTGGCTTATCTATGTTTGCAGCTCGATTTTTCAGGCTGCTTCTTGTTAGAAAAGACATGTTTTGTGGGGGCTGCTTTTTTTTTTTCAGAAGGGAAGCTCTGCTGAGGACTCTGTTGCCCTCACTGTCTGCCTAAATAATTTGTTTCTAGCTCCTGTATTATTTTGTAAATGTAAATTTCTAAATTTCTCCAGCTAGAATTTTGAGACAGATTGTATTTAATCTGCAGACTAATTTGGGATTATTGTTATTTTAACAACATTAAGACTTCTGATACATTTACCTGGAATTCTTTCCATATTTTTAGGAAAAGAAATCTTTAATTTCTTTTCATAATGTTTTACACATTTTAGTGTACAAGTCTTGCATTTATTTTTTAAATTTATGTCTCTATATATTATTCTTTTTGCTGCTTTTCAAAATTGAATTTTTTAAATTTTTTTTTATTATTTCTTGGAAGTATATAAAAATGCAATTGACTTCTATGTATTGATCTTGGATCCTAACCTTGCTAAACTTGTTTATTAGGTGTAATAGTTGTTAGTGGATTCCTTGGGATTTCATATATAAACCATAATGCAATTAACAAATAAAGATAGTTGTACTTTTCCCTTCCAATTTTGGTCTCCACTCTTTTGTTGTTGTTGTTACCTAGTTTATCTGACTGAAAATTCTAATCCAATGTGTAATAAGAGTGGAGAGTATGGCCATCTTCATCTTATCCCTGATCTTTCTGGTAAAAATTCAGTCTTTCACAGATAAGTATGATGTCAGCTATCAAATTTTTATACATGCTTTTAGTCAGTTTGATAAAGTTTCTTTTTTCATCTCTACTACTGCTTTTAATACGAAGGGTTCATGAATTTTGTCAAATGCTTTGTCTTCCTATACTGGAAATGAGGAAATGATCTTGTGTTTTTTAAAATTCTATTGGTTGCTGTATTACTTAGAATTTTCCAGAGAAACACAAGCAGCAAGATACTGCTTTATTGTATTTTCTGTAAAGTATTGGCTCACATGATTATAGTGACTGAGAAGTCCCATGATCTACTGTCTGCAAGCTAGAGATGCAGAAAGGCCAGTAGCGTGGTTCAAAGTCTTGAGAGTCAGAGAACCAATGGTATAGATTTCAGTCCAAGTATGAAAGCCTGAAAACTAGGGGCAGCAAGGGCAAGAGAAGATCAGTGTTCTAGTTCAAGTTTTTGGGCAGAGTGAGAGAAAACAAATCCTCCCTTCCTCCACCTTTTTGTTCTATTCAGGCTCTCAATGGATTAGATGATGCCCACCCACAAAGGAGATGCAAATCCACATGTTTAGTCTATCAATTTAAATACTAATATCTCCAAGAAGCACCCTCTCAGACATGCTAGTGGTGGCAGAGATTCGAGTTACCCTGAGTTACTGGTGGTGGATCCATACAGGTCTGCAGCAACTTCAGTTTTGCCTCTTCAGAAGAAATGATTATACTGAGGGGCATATAGCAGAAAAAGAGACCAAGGCAAGTTCCAAGGCAGGAGACAAAGTTTATTTTAAAAGGCTTTTGAACAGGAAAGAAAGGAAAATTTGCTTGCAAGAGACCCAAGTGGACAAAAATGGGCATTTAACCTTGATCCTAGGACTTTATAGGCTTGCCCCTTTTCCAGGATTCTTCTTTTCAGGTGTGCTTCCTGCATGCTAAGTGCTCTCCTTACGCTTTGGAGTTGAGCACATGCAGTGTATTTTAGGAAGTTATATGCATGCCCATCAGAGGTTTTCTTTCCTTTTCCGGGTTAGTGTGTCCCTAGAATATCTTCACCATTTTGTCTGTTAACACGCATGCTCCCTGGGGCCTACCTTCAATTAACATTTTGGTGTTAACGGATGTAATCCATCAGGAAATGGCCTCTCCCTGGCTACTGAATTCTCATTTTAAAAGAGGAAATGCAATCATTGCTAAACTGTCACCCAACATTCCTAGTGGGTGGGGGAGAGCCCTCTTCTACCCCTCTCATTGACTATCTAACTAACTGTAAGAGACACATCCAAAAATAAGGTTTGACCAGATATCCAGGCAATCCATGATTCAGTGAAGTTGACATAAAACTAACTATCAAAATTGGGTTTTGGATATTAAACCTACCTCGCATTCCTTCTCAAGCCAGAAACCTGGGAGTCATCTTGAAATTCTTCTTATTGCTCTTAACTATCACATTGTATTTTTACCATACAGTCACTGACATACAGTTTATATCAGTAACATATTTTCTTCATCTCCACAGCTTCTGCTTGGGCCTAGTAAACTTCCTGTAATTTCCTACTGGGGGAACCAGCCCCCAATATTTCAATGTAGGTCCTTTCTATTTTCCCTAAGTGTCAGCTGGTCTGAGAAATAAAGAGAAAGAGTACAAAGAGAGAAATTTTACAGCTGGGCCTCCGGGGGTGACATCACATATTGGTAGGACCATGATGGCGACCTCGAGCTGCAAAACCAGCAAGTTTTTATTAGGGATTTCAAAAGGGGAGGGTGTGTACAAATAGGGAGTAGGTCACAGAGATCACATGCTTCAAAGGGCAATAAAAGATCACAAGGCAAAGGGCAGAGCAAGATCACAAGGCAAGGGTGAAATTAGAATTACTGATAAGGGTCCATGTCCCGCTGGGCACACATTGTCTTGATAAACATCTTAACAGGAAACAGGGTTCAAGAGCTGACAACCGATCTGACTAGAATTTACCAGGCTGGAATTTCCAAATCCTAGTAAGGCAGAGGGTACTGCAGGAGATCAGGGCATATTTCAGTCCTTTACTCAACCGCCTAAGACAGACACTCCCAGAGTGACCATCTATAGACCTACCCCTGGGAATGCATTCCTTTCCCAGGGTATTAATATTCCTTGCTGGGAATTTCGTATTGTTCAAACACCCATGTTTTACAATCAGATTTCATATTGTTCAAACACACATGCTTTACAAACAATTTGTACAGTTAACGCAATCATCACAGGGTCCTGAGGCGACATACGTCCTCAGCTTATGAAGATGACAGGATTAAGAGATTAAAGTAAGACAGGTGTAAGAAATTATAAAAGTATTAATTTTGGGAACTAATAAACATCCATGAAATCTTCACAATTTATGTTTTTCTGCCGAGGCTTCAGCCGGTCCCTCCGCTTGGAGTCCCTGACTTCCTGCAACAATTTCGTACCTGAATTACTATGAAAGCCTATTAAGTCGTCTTTTTATTGTTGTTTCATTCCAATATATTTTCCACAATGATATTCAAGTAATCATTTTGAATCACAAATGAGGTCATGTTACTCTCATACTTGAAATATCCCAGTGACTTTCCATTTTGTTACTGTTGAGGTTGTTGTGCAGGTTTTTGTTTTGTTTTTACTAAAAAAAAAAAAAATGACCTCCTTAGAAAATCTTTAATCAGTTTTGCCACACATTTGACTCTCTAACCCCCAAATTTTGTGATTAATTCACATTTGTTTGAAATGTTGATAAGCTATAATGCCCTACCTCCAACTACAATAGTCAAATTGGAGCTATTTTCTTTCTGCCAGACCTGGTTACTAGGGCTCATTCATGAGAAGTAGATTCTATTTAATGAACTGTCACACCTGAGATTACATTTGAAACAAGTGACAGGGAGATAAATGATTGATTTGGGTGCTCTGGGACAGTGCTAGCACTATGTAGAAGTAGTAGTGTTTTCTACTTTTCCTGGAATAGTAAAAACAGCATACTGAAGAGAACTTTTCTGCTAAAAAGTAAAAGGTTATTGTTCCTTCATTTTAACAAAAAATAACAGCCTTGTTTTTGGACTATTTTCAAAGTCTGATTCTTCAATTGCTCCTTGATTCTGTGAACATTTAATTTTCCTCTAATAATCAGATAGCAACATGTATTCTGTTGTTTGTAACCCAGAATACAGGCAGATACATGGATCCATTTCAATATCTAGCTGCTACATATCTTATTAAGATTGTTTTTACACTCTCCTTTCTACTGCATGCATATATCTCAGCTACAGTGAGATACGTGAGATACGTTGTATTTATTATTTATTATCATTTCTTCTCATCCCTCCACGTCTTTACATTTTCTGTGAAACTATGGATTTATATATTCCACTACTTGCCCTGATAATGTTTATTGACCTTTGGCTCCCATCTCACTCAGTTATCTCTCATCCAACATATACTTGCTGAGCCCCAACAGTTGCTTGCATCTAAACAAACAATTTCTTGTTTCCTGGAGTCATATAATCTGAATGTGAAACAAATAATGAAACCGTCAGATTACCAGAGCACTATTAATATTACGGATTATGAATGAAAGAAAAGGATGATGAAGTGAGAAGAAAGGGCAAAATAAAATAATATAGGATAGTCTTTAGGGTATTGGTTCCAGATTCAGGTTCCTACCCACAAAGTCTGTGTTAGGTCCCCTTCTCTCTTCTATCTTATCAGCATTCTGAGCAGCCTCTATCATAGAACTTAAAAAAAATGTAAGCCAAGCTGTCTGGTTTTTTTTTTTTTAATCTTTCTTTCTCACCAAACTATTTATTTATTTGGAACAAGGACTGATTATTATTTACCTTTATTTTGTCAAATAAAAATGTTCTTATATGAGCTATTATAGAAGTATATATTAGGGCATATCCACATTTCACATTTATTACATCTTCCTTCTTTTTTCCTTCTGTCTTTTTGCAGATCGAGATTCAGAGAAATGCAAAGCCTAAGCAGTTTTTGCATTTCTCCACCAATATTATCAGCTTTTCTTTCTACATATTATGGGGTGATTTTATGTGTTGGAAAATGTCCTCAGGTCAATCTTTATGTAAATGCATGTAAGCTTTGGGAATAGATAACCTCAGGCTCCTCTGGCCAGAGTTGGCTTCATGGGATTATGACCTGAAGATTTGCACAAATTATATGAACAGAAGGCAGGGAAATATTGGGTAGAGGAGGGTGGTTCCCCAGCAAAGGCCCTGCTCACAAGCCTGAGCCTGTGGCCCTAAATGAGAACTTCTCGTCCCTATTTTCCTGGATGAATGTTGCTTTTCCAAAACCATCCTGGCCCACCACGCCCATCTTGTACCCATAAAATCCCCAGACTCCATTGGCAGAGGAGCAAAGCAGCACAGCAGAGAAGGAGAGAAGAGAAGAAGCATCTGAATGTCAAAGAGGCAGCTGAATGGTTGGGGAGGAGTTTGGATGGGGATGGCCAAACTTTAGGGGAAGATTATCTTCCACTCCATCCCCTTTCCGGTTTCCCCTTCCTCTGAGAGCCACCTCCATCATTCAATTAAATCTCCGCTTTCACCATCCGTGAAAAGGAGAGTGTAAAAACAATCTTAATAAGATGTGTAGCAGCTAGGTATTGAAATGGATCCATGTATCTGCCTTCAAGTGCATGTGACTTGTTTCTTCCTGGACACCAGACAAGGACCTGGGTACCAAGAGGGCAGGGTGTAAAAGGCTGTCACCCTGACTCTCCACTGAGCTGATGAACACTTAGCTGTCAGTGGATGGTAACTGCTAAAAGAACATTAATTGTAACACACCCCTAGACGCTGTCCTAGGGCCAGAGCCCAAAAGTGTTCACCTGGCCCCAGCACCTACTCACCTGCATGCTCCCCCTCCCACAAGGGGTTTGAGCATGGCAGCCGAGTAAGCGAGCCACACACCTGTCACTAGTCTCGCCAAGGGTTCCAGGGAACTTTCTTTTCTCACAAGTCCTGCCCTTATGCAGGTCCCATACTTAGTTTAATACTCTGATATTATTATCTTGAAATTCTTAATTTTTGCCCGGAGGGCCACATTATTATGTTACACTGTGGTCCCCAAATTATATAACCAGTACTCGTTGGTTTACATGGTTTGCAACCATACATTTCTTTCTCTTGCATTCTGTCTTAAATGATTCTGCATTTTGCCCCATCACATAATAGAATGATGTGAAATTTAGTGTTTCAGTCTGCTCATTCTAACTTCCCAGTTCCTTGTAACATTTGGTCACACTGTTCATTTTTATTTTGAGTCCCAACAGTACCCATGGAAGACCCTCTTAAATTCCTTACATTTTTCAATCTGAAATCTGAAGTGATTTTTCTGTATAAGGTCTCTAAATTTTTCAGTGTGGTGCATAACACACATATTACTCTATATTTACCTCTTTAACAAAATACAATGATTTTTGCATTTTTATATTATTATGTGCAAGTATCATCACCATTAATTTGAATAGAAAGTTTTTGCAGATAGGAATTCTGTCATACTTAATTTTTATATTCCCCAAAGTAGCTGTCCTAGAGCTTTGCATAATACAAAATAAAATGTTAATAAATACCTCAATAAAAATTTGTGACATGGTTGAATGAAAAAATAACCAGTCATAAAATAACACTGTGGGCTGTAAAATACACATTGAACTTGATAATTTTATAGTACACAAAAAAGGTAGTTGTTAAAGAACATTTCAATGATAATTCCTTATGATAACTAAAAGTATTTACCAAAATACCGGTATTTCCTTAAACATGTTGGCCAATAAAGGTATTTCCCTCATTTTATGTAAAAATCTGCTGTAATAATGCATAGAAACATATCTAAGTCTTTATATCTACCTTTTCCCAAACCTATGCTTTAAGTTGCATCACAATTTTATACTTAACCATTTTGAAGGAAAATTTTCTTCATTTTTTTTATGAAAATAAAATTTAGTGAGTGCCTATTATGTTCCAGAAGTACAAAGAAGTATCTAATTGATAATTAAGGATGTCATAGACTAAGATCTGTGACATAAATTTAAAAGAAACAAGGGTTAAAAGAACTGAATTATATGGAGAAAATGCATCACTACACACTTAATATCACAAAGAAGGACACAATCGGTTTTGAAAAGAGGAAATGGTGAAGATATTCTAAAGGAGTTTATGGATGAGTCCTGAAAGATCAAGTAATTCTATACTGAGTGTTTACTCTTCCCTTTGTGTTTTGCCAAGGACTTTCTATGTTGTATCTCATCAGAATCTTTCAACAACACAGAAAGTAAGTTTATTACTACTCTTTGGATTTTAGTTGTAGAAATGGAATCTTATACAGTTTAAATAACCTGCCCAATATCATTTAACTGGTTGGTGGCAAAACTAATATCCAACTAAGTTGGACTGTCTCTGAAGTCCAAACTGTTAAACATTACATGAAGTCCTGCCTCACTGCCTTCCAAGGGGAGATATTTTTGTTAGGTTTATTTTTGTTTTGCTTTATTGCTTTTTTTTTTCTCTCAGATGAAAAGGGAGCAGAATATTCCAGACAGTAAAAAAAAAAAAAGTATGAAAACACACTCAAAGGGGTATGAAAATAATATCTAGATTGTGTACATTTGGGGAAAGATGTGAGCAAGGAGGCATGCATATGTCTAAATACTTTCAGCTTATTATTATTATTATTATTTAATTTTGAGATGGAGTCTTGCTCTGTTGCCAGGCTGGAATGCAGTGGCCCACTCTCGGCTGGCTACAACCTCCACCTCCCAGGTTCAAGTGATTCTCCTGCCTCAGCCTCCCGAATAGCTGGGACTACAGGTGCCTGCCACCACACCTGGCTAATTTTTGTAATTTTAGTAGAGACGGGGTTTCGCCATGTTAGCCAGGATGGTCTCGATCTCTTGACCTTGTGATCCACATGCCTCAGTCTCCCAAAGTGCTGGGATTACACACGTAAGCCATCGTGCCCGGCCTTTCAGCTTATTTTTATGACAATTTAGCATACATAAAATTCGATATTAGCAAGTAGTAACAACTTAATAAGATAACAAAATTATTATGTAATAAAAATAATAGAAGCTTTTAGTTAATATGTAAGCCCTCGCAATAGGTGGGTTGCTGAAATTTTTAGATATATTAATTTATTTAATCCTCACAAACGTGTATGGAATAAGGTATGTTAACTAATTTACAAAAAAGAAAACTGAGGCAGAGAGAAAGTTATAGAGTTCAAGACTGGCCTGGCCAACATGGTGAAACCCCACCTCTACTAAAAATACAGAAATTAGCTGGGCGTGGTGGTGACAGTCTGTAGTCCCAGCTACTCGGGAGGTTGATGCAGGAGAATCACTTGAAACGGGGAGGCAAAGGTTGCAGTGAGCCCAGATTGCGCCATGGCACTCTAGCCTGGGCGACGGAGTAATACTCTATCTACAAAAACAAAAACAAAAACAAAAACATTAGCTTGAGGAGAAAATATTTCTTTAAAAAAATAACATTGCAAGCTTGACACAATATTACATATTAAAACTTTTAAAATTCCTGTTAGGGGAACACATTTGATCATGGTACCCGTTATAGAAATCCAGACTTTTTTTTTTTTTTTTTTTTTTTTTTTTAAGACGGAGTCTGGCTCTGTCGCCCAGGCTGGAATGCAGTGGCGGGATCTCGGCTCACCACAAGCTCCGCTTCCCGGGTTCAGGCCATTCTTTGCCTCATCCTCCTGAGTAGCTGGGACTACAGGCACCCGCCACCGCGGTGGCTAATTTTTTGTATTTTTAGTAGAGACGGGGTTTCACCTTGTTAGCCAGGACGGTCTCGATCTCCTGACCTCGTGATCCACCCGCCTTGGCCTCTCAAAGTGCTGGGATTTACAGGCGTGAGCCACCGCGCCCGGCCAATCCAGACATTTTTATAGACAGGAAAAAGACATATTGAATGGTGCATTTTCTGAAGCCTGATCATCTGCAGTACCTATAAAATAGATCAACTGTATGCAAGTGGAGGACACATCTTAGTCTCTTCTCCCCACAGAAAGGAGATCTAACAAGAGACTGCATGAATGCTGTAGTTTGTGGAAGTGGAGTCTGGGGAGCATAAAACAAAGAAGAATGAAAAATAACGCAAGTGTCCCAGAATCTTTTGAAACAATGTGGATAACGTGTCTCAGTACTTTCTACCTGAGTAACCGAAGACGTGAGCACACATTCACCTTTTTCTCTACTGTGGAATGACTAACTTATGATGTGTTCACTTCTCCATGCTTCTAGGCTGCACATACATGAGTGCCACGTGTGTTCCTAGAAGCATCCTGCACAGTGGATCAGAGAAGCCCTGGTGTAGAAAATAGGCGGTGCATGCTTCAGCGGATGGAAATTATGGCTACATCTTTATAAAGCTAGTGGTGGTGACAATGGCTAGTACAAAAAGGGGGCCAGTAGGATGTGAGATGGATCCCAAGACATTTTCAATACACACCAGAGGAAGGCAGATTTAGAAGATATCTCAGCAACTCTAATTTTAATGGTAATGGTCAGACCTCTTAACTCATTCAGTAAAAATTTCCCTCAGCATCTGCTATATATCCTGGAAATTGTGTTACAAAGAAGAATCAGAAACATACCTCAAAGAATTCAAAACAAATTAAGAGAGAAACAAACTGCAAAAAACTGAAAAGTATTGTGATGGAGATTAAAATATAAAAATAGCAAGGACAGAAACTTAGCCAAATCTAAATATAATACAACTAAAAATGTAAGTGCCTAAACAAGTTTAATAAATATTTTGTAAATTGAAGGTGACTATGCAAATCTTGTTGGCATAGAACCTGATTTTTGGACTGAGCTTTTAGAAGGGAAGGGTCATATTTAAATTAAAGTAGGAAGACATAGTTAAAAGAATACTAATATGGCAGAGCAGCAGAATACGATGCTGCTGTATGAAAATTTACTCAGTAATAATGGAGTAAGATTCAAAGGCAATTGGTGTGCATGAGTATAATTTACAAACTCTTCAATTCAGGAAGAAATAAAATTAATGATCTCAAAATCTAGAGCATCAGAAATGTTAAAATCCAATGAAATAATGGAGCCTTTGCAAAAGGTACACTTCAAAATTTGCATGGTGATGCTATTTACTGAGGAGAGCTTACCAAAAAGTATTTTCTACCATGACAAAATATACAAAGGGCACTGTCCCATAATCAACTTTATTCAACTGAAACAGGTAAAATCAATTTATTTCTAGAAATGCTAATTAGAAATGTAATGCACATCACCAAATAAGTAAATGCACTTTGATTTCTCAGTGTTTTTTTTTTCTAAATTTGGTAGCTCAAACTCAGACAAATTATATACAAATTACTGAAAATAAGTAGTTAATATAAGCCTGAAGGGAGAAAGTATTATACTTACTAAAATAATCCATAACCAATCAGATCAAGTAGCTTTTTTCCACTGAGATATTAAAGTGTTGATTAAAGGAGGGACATTACTGAATGGGGAAAGAATACAACTAAAACCTCAGATTTGTTTTGTTGTATGTTCTCGTTATAGTGCACTGCATAGGTAAGAAATATATCACAAGTGTTTAATAAAAATGCTATTCAGAGCATATTTAGGCAAAATGAGAATTAAAATATTCAATAAAGAGTAAGCTATTTTCTTCAATGAGCCTAAAATTTATCAAATTTTGGAATATTATTAAAAAGTTGTATAAGTCAGAAAGTAACATAAATGTAAGACTAGAACTAATATTTACTAAAAATATTTTGATAAACATTTTATATGTATTATCTCATTTAATCCTAATAACAAATCCAAAGGGAAGTATATTATTATCTCCATTGTTCAGAGAAGAATATTAGGCTTACCATGAGTAATAAGTTGCTCACAATAGTGTATATTAGAAGAGCCTAGATTTACACCTGACAGCCTGACCACTACATTGTAGCAATACATTAAACTATTTGTTTTCCCAAAAGTCATTCGAGAGCAAGTTATTTAGTTTCCATGTAATTGTGTGGTTTTTGAGAGATCTTCTTGGTATTGATTTATATTTTTATTCCATTTTGGTCTAAGAGTATGCTTGCTATAATTTTGATTTTTTTTTAATTTATTGAGACTTACTTTATGGCTGAGCATGTGGTCAATCTTAGAGTATGTCCTATGTGCAGATGAAAAGAATGTATATTCTGTGGTTATTAGATGAGTATTTTGTAAATGCCTATTAGGTCTAACTGGTCAAGTATAGAAATTAAGTCTACAATTTCGTTGTTAGTTTTCTGCCTTGATGATCTGTCTAATGCTGTCAGTGGAGTGTCGAAGTCCCTCATTATTATTGTGTGGTTGTTTAAGTCTTTTTATGGATCTACAACTACTAGTTTTATAAATCTAGGTGCTCCAATGTTGGATGTGTATATATTTAGGATAGTTAAGTCTTCTTTTTGAATTGAATACCTTATCATTATGTAATGCCATACTTAGCCCTTTTTAACCATTGTTAGTTTAAAGTCTGTTTTATCTGGTGTGAGAATAGTGACCACTGCTCTTTTTTGTTTCTTTGTTTGTTTTCCATTAGTGTGCTAGATCTTTCTCACTTTACCTTGGGACTGTGGGTGTCATTATATGTAAGATGGGTCTCTTGAAGACAGCAGAGGGTTCAGTATTTTTTTTTATCCAACATGCCAGATTGTACCTTTCAAGTGAGGCGTTTAGAACATTACATTCAAGGTTAATATTGATATTTGAGATTTCGTTTCTGTAGTAGTATTGTAAGCTGATTGCTTTGTATTCTCAATTGTGCAGTTGCTTCATAGCATCTGTAGGCTATGTACCTAAATGTGATTAAAAAAAAAACCTCAACAAACTAGGCATTGAGGGAACCTACCTCAAATTAATAAGAGTCATATATAACAACCTCAAAGCCAACATCATACAGAGTGGACTAAAGCTGGAACCATTCCTCTGAAGAACTAGAACAAGATAAGGAAGCTCACTGTCACCAATCCTATTCACATAGTACTAGAAGTCTTATTCAGAGTAGTCAGGCAAGAGAAGGAAATAAAAAGCATCCAAATAGGAAAAGAAAATATCAACCTATCTTCACTGATGATATGATTTTATATCTAAAAAGCTCTAAAGATTACACCAAAATTCTCCTAGAATTGACAAATGACTTTAGTAAAGTCTCAGGATATCAAATCAATGTACAGAAGTGAATACTATTTCTATACAATGATGACATTCAAACTGAGAGTGAAATCAAGAAAGCAATCTCTTTTACAACAGCCATGAAAACAAAACAAAACAAAACAAAACACTTAAGAATACATCTAAGCAAGGAGATGAAAAATCTCTACAGGGATAACTACAAAACGTTGTTGAAGGGAGTCATAAGTGACACAAACAAATGGGAAAACATTCCATGCTCATGGATTGGAAGAATCAGTGTCTTTAAAATGACCATACTTCCCAAAGCAGTCTAGAAATTCAACACTATTCCTATCAAATTACTGAAGACATTTTTCACACAACTAGGGAAAGAAAACTATTCTGAAATTCACATGGAACTAAAAAGAGCTCAAATAGCCAAAGCACTCCTAAGCAAAAAGAACAAATCTGGAGGCATCACACTACCTGACTTAAAACTATACTACAAGGATACAGTAACCAAAACAGCATGGTACTGGTACAAAAACAGACACACAGACCAACAGAACAGAATAGAAAACCCAGAATTAAAGCTGCTTACCTACAACCATCTGATCTTTGACAAAGTTGATAAAAATAAGCAGTGGAGAAAGGACTTCTTATTCAATCAATAGTGCTGGATATGGCTAGCCATATGCAGAAGAATGAAACTGGACCCCCACCCTTCACCATACACAAACACTAATGCAGTACAGATTAAAGAGTCAGTAAGACCTAAAACTATAAAAATCCTAGAAGAAAACCTAGGAAATTTCCTTCCTGATTTGGCCTTGGCAGAGAATAAATGGCTAAGTCCTCCGAAACAATTGCAGCAATCAAATATAAATGACAAGTGGGACCTAATTAAACTAAAGAGCTTCTGCATAGAAAAAAAATCGTCAACATAGTAAAAAGATAACCTACAGAATGAGAGAAATACTTGAAAGCTATGCCTCCAGCAAAGATCTAATATTCAGAATCTAAAAGGAAAAAATAAATCAACAAGCAAAAAACAAATAACCCCATGATAAAGTGGACAAAGGTCATGAACAGACATATCTCAAAAGAAGACATACAAGTTACCAACAAAGAAGTGAAAAAATGCTTATCATCAACAATCATCAGAGAAATGCAAATCAAAACTTTGATGTGGTATTATCTTATACGAGTCAGAATGGCTATTATTAAACAGTCAAAAAATAACAGATGTTAGTGAGGATGCAGGGAAAAGGGAACACTTATACATTGTTGGTGGGTCTGTAAATTATTACAGCCATTGTGGAAATTTCTCAGAGAACTTAAAATAGAATTATCATTTGATCCAGCAATCCCATTACTGGGTATGTGCCAAAAGTAAAATAATTCTACCAAAAACAGACATACACCCAGATGTTTAGTACAGCAATATTCACAATAGCAAAGACATGGAATCAATGTAGGTACTCATCAATAGTAGATTGGACAAAGAAAATGAGGTACATATATATGATAGAATAAAATGTAGCCATTAAAAAAGAACAAAATAATTTCCTTTACAGCAACATGGATGCAGCTGGAGGCCGTTATCCTAAGCCAACTAATGCAGAAACAGAAAATTAAATTCTGCATGTTCTCATTTTTAGGTGGGAGCTAAACATTATGTACTCATGGACATAAAGATAGGAACAGTAGACACTGGGGACTACAGCAGTGGGGTGAGAGGGATGGGGGCAAGTGTTGGAAAACTGCTGCTGTTTACCACCTGGGTGATGGGTTAAATCATGCACCAAACCTCAGCATCATGCAATAGACCTTTGTAACAAACCTGCCCCTGAATCTAAATAAAAGTTGAAAAATAAAATAATAGCCATCCTAAAATAATATACATTTAAAATAATTGTTTCAAAAACTCCAAAGTCAAAAATATTTGTTAGTTTTTTTGAAGGCAGAAAAAGACATATCTTTAGATCTATGAAAATGAAGACTTTTGAGAAAAAAACAGTCTCTGGATATTCAGGAAGAGTGAAAGAATAAAATCAGAATCTTTTAGATAGTATTCCTGTAATTTAGGGTGTTAAAGATACTTTAGAATTTTAAAACTTGAAGCCGAGCGCAGTGGCTCACGCCTGTAATCCCAGCACTTTGGGAGGCCGAGGTGGGCAGATTACTTGAGGTCAAGAGTTGGAAACTAGCCTGGCCAACATGGTGAAACCCCGTCTCTACTAAAACTACAAAAATTAACTGGGCGTGGTGGTGGGTGAATCGCTTGAACCTAGGAGGAAGAGGTTGCAGTGAGATGAGATCTCACCACTGCACTCCAGCATGGGCGACAGAGCAAGACTCCATCTCAAAAAAAAAAAAAAATTAAAAAATTAAAACTAAAAATAAATAAAACTTGAAAAAGTCACACACAAAAAATGAATTATTGTGAAAGCTATTACACCAGAAAATCTACCTCTTGTAAATTATGGAAGGATAAGAAAAATGAAAATGATCAATACTAATAGAACAATAGTAGAAATTTAGTCATGAATGGTTGTCAAAAACTGAATTTTTTTTTTTTTTTTGAGGCGGAGTCTCGCTCCGTCCCTCAGGCTGGAGTAGAGTGGCGCTATCTCGGCTCACTTCAAGCTCCGCCTCCCGGGTTCACGCCATGCTCCTGCTTCAGCCTCCGGAGTAGCTGGGACTACAGGTGCCCGCCACCACGCCCGGCTACAAAAACTGATTTTTTAACTTTATATTAAACTCTTTATGTTACTGAAATACATATTTTTGTACATCATTTGAATACATTTTTTTACCACAACTTCACAATCAAGTGTTGTTCAGAAATCTTGATTTTTAACTTTATATGCTTGATGTATTTTTATATCCTTCTTATATGAACTTGTGATGAAAGATTTTCTTAAAATTTTTTTATGATTTTTGTTGTTTTTATTTACCTTTTCACTTATCTTAATTCTTTGGAAGAGCAGTTTAAATGGAAAATCCGAGTGTCTTGTGATGCTACTGACTTATGGGTACCTTTGAGGCATTTATTCTGTGGCCGATAAAGTGAGGTCATTGTCTTCTATATTTCGTACATGTACAGTGAAGTGAATTCAGAATATATGTCAGAAAGTGAAATAATCTTTGCATAACTTTGAGCAAATATCTAGAGGCTATTGAAATTTTAGCAAAAGAAAAATGACTGTTAAAGTCTTAGGATATTTGGAAAAATTGTTCTTTTTTTTTTTTTTTTTTTTTTTTTTTTTTTGACGAAGTCTCACTCTGTCACCAGGCTGGAGTGCAGGGTTGCGATCTCGGCTCACTGCAACCTCCACCTCGCGGGTTCAAGCGATTCCCCTGCCTCAGCCTCACGAGTAGCTGGGACTACGGGCACGTGCCACCACACTCAGCTAATTTTTGTATTTTTAGTAGAGACGGGGTTTCACCATGTTGGCCAGGATGGTCTCAATCTCTTGACCTCGTGATCTGCCTGCCTTGGCCTCCCAAAGTGTTTGGATTACAGGCGTGAGCCACCGCACCTGGCCCGGAAAAACAGTTCTAAGGAAAAATTATAGTACTGCATTATTGCATAAAATTTTTGCCTGTTATCTCTAATAACTGCTGGCAAAAGAGGACTATAATAAAATAATCCCCTCTGTAGAAGAATGCACAGAACAAAAAGTTCCCATTTTAAAATAAAAATAATAGGCAAATTATATCACTATATGTGGAATAAAAGCAATAAATATTCCTTTAGACTTTTGATTTGCATAAATTGTATCACAGAATGTTTCCTGTATGGTGATGGCTTTGCATTCAGTTGTAGGTAAGCCAGTCATTATTACTGGGCAAAATTGTGACATTTGTACTTCTACAAGTGGAGCAACAGTCAGAGCATAGTAGAAAAAAATGGCTGATGTATAGAATACCAGGCATTTCTAGGAGCAGCAATTTAATATTTTATCCCCAGAAGGAAACCTAAGAACTGTAGGATAAGTTAGAGTTTAAGATTGTTTTTGAGAATTATGGAAAATTAAATGGGATTCATAGAATCAGTGATGGTTAGTGAAAGAAAGGAAGAAATGAATTATGGAGAAGAGCTTGGATATAAACCCAGTGGTTGTGCAATCTTTGTCAGTTTAGTCTTCTAAATTTAATGAAATGTTTATGATGCTATCCAGTTTACAAAAGACGATTTTCTCTGGCCTGATGATTCAGACCAACATGGTTCAAACACAGATGTGGTGGTTTTTTGTGCATAATAAAATTTTATAAAGCACATTAAAAAAATATGATACATGTAACAGTTGGAGGAGTGAGAGACTTACATGAATAATACCTGCAGTTAAAATGAAAGTAAGAGAATTCACACTGATTAATTTTGCAGAGATGGTAATTCTGCAAATAGTCTTTACCCATAAACTCTCAAGTACATTTGAGACCATAGTAAGTGTTTAACTGGCTGAGGGCATATGGATTTTTAAGACATTATTTAAGAGAACACCAAATTGTATCAATATTGTAAGTAATGTGGTTGAAAAAGAGAGAGATTTTGCAACTTTGCATGTGTAAACACTTATAAGAGAAGTCAATTTTGTTCCTTAGCAATATTTTTAATGTTTAATAATGTTTTATGGATAAATGATTTAACTATGAAATAATAATTCCAATATAAATTATGATCAGAAAGTTTGAGATCAAAACAATTCCTAATTTGGGGCATGCTGGAGAATACATTCAAAAACATTCTGCATTTTTTGAAAGAAGTCAGCATAAGTACTGTAATAATTCAATTTACAAATGAGATAAAAAGGTATTTCAATAAAATGTTAGCAAAGAGAAGACAATTATTTCAAGTTCTTTAGAGAACATACTAATACAGATAATAACCAAATTACACACAAATTATACAAAGGCACATTATTTAATGAAAATTGATTTTAAATACAATTAAAATTGTCAAAGGGAGACTTAAAGAAAAATACAGATGCCAATATATAGTCAGAAAAGTAGATACCACTCTAAGCATTTTAATTTTAAAAATTATTATTATTATTATTTGAGACAGGGTCTCACTCTGTCACTCAGGCTGTAGTACAGTGGCATGATCACGGCTCACTGCAGCCTTGACCTCTCAGGCTCAAGTGATCCTCCCACCTCAGCCCTGCAAGTAGCTGACACTACAGGTGCATTCCACCATCCCTGGCTAATTTTTGTATTTTTTTTAGAGATGGGGTTTCATCATGTTGCCCAGGCTGGTCTTGAACTCCTGAAATCAAGCAGTCTGCCAACCTTGGCCTCCCAAAATGTTGAGATTGTAGATGTGAACCACCATCCCCCACAACTATAGGCATTTTAGAAGAGCTTTAACATATAAAATTCATTATAAAATGGATAGGCTATAAGTAGAAAAAAGTGAGGTTGCCTCCAAGACTGAACCAGGAAGAAACTGAATCCCAGAACAGGCCAGTAATGAGTTCCAAAATTGAACCAGTAATAAAAAGCCTACCAACCAAAAAAAGCCCAGGGGCAGATAGATTCACAGCCAAATTTTACCAGACATATGAAGAAGAGCTGGTAGAATTCCTACTGAAACTGTTCCCAAAAATTAAGGAACTTATTCCCTAGGGCCAGCATCCTCCTGATAACAAAACCTGGCAGAGACACAGCAAAAAAGAGAAACCTTTAGGCCAATATTCTTGATGAACGTAGATGCAAAAATTCTTAACAAAATACTAGCAGACCAAATGCAACAACATATCAAAAGCTGATTCACCATGATCATATTGGTTGTAAGAGGGATGCAAGGTTGGTTCAACATTCACAAATTAATAAATGTAATTCATCACAGAAAGAGAACTAATAACAAAAAGCCACATGGTTATCTAAATAGATGTAGGAAAGGCTTTTGATAAAATGCAACATCACTTTATGTTAAAGATCCTTAATAAACTATGCATTGAAGAAACATATTTCAAGATAATAACAGCCATCTATGACTCATACTAAATGAGAAAAAGCTGGAAGAATTGCCCTTGAAAACTATAGCAAGAAAATAATGCCCTTTCTCACTACTCCTATTCAACAAAGTACTGAAAGTCTTGGCCAGAGCAATCAGGAAGCAGGAAGAAATAAAACACATCTAAACAGGAAGAGAGGAAGTCAAACTATCCATATTTACAGACAACATGATTCTTTATCTCGAAAACCCCATAATCTTTGCCCAAAATTCCTTGGTCTGATAAACAACTTCAGTAAATTCTAGGACACAAAATCAGTAGCATTCCTATACACCAACAACATCCTAGCTGAGAGCCAAATCAGGAATGCAATCCCATTCGCAGTTGACATAAAAAGAACAAAAAATACCTAGGAATACAGCTAACCAGGGAAGTAAAAGATCCCTACAACAAGAATTACAAAACACTGCCAAAAGAAATCAGAGATAACACAAACAAATGGAAAAACATTCCATGCTCATGGATAGGAAGAATCAGTGTTGTTAAAATGGCCATCCCATACTGCCCAAAGCAATGAACAGATTCAATGCTATTCCTGTCAAACTACCAAAGAAATTCTTCGCAGAATTAGAAAAAAAACTTTTTAAAAATTCACATGGAACCAAAAAAGAGCCTGAATAGCCAAGGCAATCTTAAGCAAAAAGCACAAAGCTGGAGGCATCACATTACCTGACTTCAATTTATACTGCAAGGCTACAGTAACCAAAGCAGCATGGTACTGGTACAAAAGCAGGCACATAGACAAATGGAACAGAATAGAGAGCCCAGAAGTAATGCTACAGCTACAACCGTCTGATCTTCAACAAAGCAATCAGGAAAGGACTCCTTATTCAATAAATGGTATTGGGAAAACTGGCTAGCCATATGCAGGAGATTGAAACTGTACCCCTTCTGTACTACATATCCAAAAATCAACTCAGGGTAGATTAGACTGAAAAGTAAAGCCTAATAATACAAAAACTCGGGAAGATACTCTCAGAAATACCATTCTGCATATAGAACCTGGCAAAGATTTCATGACAAAGATGCCAAAAGCAATTGCAAAAAAAGCAAAAATTGACAAAAAGGATCTAATTAAACTAAAGAGCTTCTGCAGAGCAAAAGAAACTATCAAGAGTAAAAGACAACCTGCAGAATGGGAGAAAATATTTGCAAACTGTGCATCTGACAAAGGTCTAATGTCCAGAATCTATAAGGAACTTGCACAAATTTACAAGCAAAAAACAAGCAACCACATTAAAAAGTGGACAAAGAACATGAAAAGACACTTTTCAGAAGAAGGCATACATGTGGCCAACAAGCATAAGAAAACAACGCTCAACATCACTAATTATTAGAGAAATGCAAATAATAACCACAGTAAGAAACCATCTCACACCAGTCAGAATGGCTACTATTAAAAAGTCAAAAAACTAACAGGTGCTGGCAAGGTTGTGGAGAAAATGGAGCACTTATATACTTCTGGTGGGAGTGCAAATTGTTTCAGGCATTGTGGAAAGCATTGTGGTGATTCCTCAAAAACTTAAAACAGAATTACCATTCGACCCAGCAATCTCATTATTGGGTATATACCCACGAGAATATATATCATTCTACCATAAAGACTCATGCACACATATGTTAATTGTAGGACTTTTCACAATAGCAAAGACATGGAATCAATCTAAATGCCCATCAATGTTAGACTGGATAAAAAGAAAATATGGTACATACACACCATGAAATATTATGCAGCCATAAAAAACAATGGGATCATGTCGTTTGCAGTAACTTAGATGGAGCCGGAGGTCATTATCCTAAGGAAAGTAATGCAGGAACAGAAAACAACCAAATACTTCATGTTTTCACTTATTAGTGGGAATTAAACAGTGAGAACACATGACATAAAGAGCAACAACAGACACCAGGGCGTACTTGAGGGTGGAGGGTGGGAGGTTGGAGAGTGTCAGAAAAAATACCTGTTGAGTACTATGCTTAATACCTGGTTGACGAAATAAACTGTATACCAAACCCACATGGCGTGCACTATATAACCTATATAACAAGCTTCTACATGTACCCATGCACCCAAAATAAAAGCTGAAAAAAAAAAAAGCGAGAAAGAAAAAGTGTGGTTACCAAGAGAGGAGAAACTATAGTAAACACCACCTTTCATCACGCCAGGAAAAATAACAGGGAACACTGCCCAAAGCCAATGATCCATATGCCAGTGAGGCTTCTGGAGTATCTGTGGTGTTGTATCTATTGGAATCACCATTGCTGAAGCTTTGCAGGAGCCACAAGTCTATAGTCCCATTAGGCAAGGCAGGCCTGGCAGCCTCAAATTGCCCAAAGCTTTTACTGCTATAGTTACTGCAGAAGTCAGAGTCTATGGGCACTCTGCTATTGAGATTAACGTGGTGCTTACTGTTGTTGCTTCCACTGCCTGACGCAGGTCCATAGGTGCCATTCTTCTGACTGAGGCTACTGGGATTTACTTCAACTGGTTTTTTGACACAACACTGCCTAAATCAGAAGCTGTTGTGGCTGCTACTGGATACGTGAATAGAACCAAAAAAGAACACATTTTCTCTTCTCCCACCTTACAATCTTCCTTCAGTACCTCCCATTGGTTGGCAAGGGAACATGAGAAATGTAGTTTTCAGCCTTCTAAACTCCAGTGATATGGAAGAGAACATGTAAAGGCAGAAATGGAGATAAAAGCCAAAGACGAATAATAAATATACAATGTATAGTGCCTCCATTGCATTTATAAAAGTTATAAATACATGGGAAATCAATTATGTCATCTGAGTTGACTGAAATGTTATTTCTAGTAGGCTTGAAGTAATGGCTGGCAGGGTTAAGAAGCAGGGAGAGGAAAATAATACAGTTGCAAAATAAGAACAAGTTTAGAGGCCAGGTGCAGTGGCTCACGCCTGTAATCCCAGCACTTTGGGAGGCTGAGGTGGGTGGATCACAAGTTCAGGAGATTGAGACCATCCTGGCCAACATGGTGAAACCCCATCTTTACTAAAAATACAAAAATTAGCCAGGTGTGGTGGTGGCCACCTGTAGTCCCAGCTACTCAAGAGGCTGAGACAGGAGAATCGCTTGAATCCGGGAGGCTAAGACTGCAGTGGGCCTAGATCGCGCCACTGCACTCCAGCCAGGGCAACAGAGCGAGACTTGTCTCAAAACAAAAAAAAAAAGTTTAGAAAACAAAAGGGTCAACATTCTGGGACCCAAAATATTCACTCTAAATTCTAGTGTAAATTAACCTGAAAAAAATTAGAACTAGAGGATGGACAGACGCTGCATGGAGTTAGGACACAGAAAGACACTGATGCACATACTGGGTAATGGGCAAGATCATGTGACTATAGCAAAATCTTTTCAGCTGTTATCTACAGCACTTGAAGCTCTGAAAGCCAAAGGAAAAAAATTTCAGCTTGAGCTCCTGAAATTATTTAAACAATCGAGCTTTATTAGTACTCTCCAAAAGTACAGTTCTCAATCCTACCTAACCTACATCATTTCTGGTACTTCCTTTACATCCCTAAAATGCATTTCATAAATTACATAACCTAATTAACTCCACATATTTTTTAAATCACTGGGAAGCCAATAACATAAATATAAAAGATAAATAGGATCAAGGAAAATCATTATAATATGCATTTCATATGTAATAGCTCAGGTATGAAAGCAGTAGAAGACTCAATAAAGAGATATTAAAGCCTGTTGTGTTATGTATTTCCTGTTTCCCTCCCCGTATCTGCACTCCACACTTACACATCGTGCTATATGTTCTAGAGAAATGACTCAGCTATATCATTGAACTGTTTTGCTTTCTAACTTCTGCTGGAATTTCTCAATACAAGACACCAGCAGGTGTCAAAGGCAGGGAGAAAAAGGTGTGGCATTTATTTATTATTATTATTTGAGACAAGGTTTTACTCTGTTGCCCAGGAGACCGTGCAGTGGCAAGATCATGGCTCACTGCAGCCTCGAACTCCCGGGTTCTGGTGGTTCTCCCTCCTCAGCCTTCTGAGTAGCTGGGACTACAGGCATGCACAACCATGCCCATCTAATTTTTTAAATATTTTGAGAGACGGAGCCTCACTATGTTGCCCAAGCTGACCTGAAACTCCTGGGCTCAGGGCATCCTCCCTTCTTAGCCTCCTAAATTGTTGGGATTTCAGGAGTGAGCCACCACTATGCCCCACACTGGGGGTGTCTAACGTTTGTCTCCCTGCCAGTTCATAGGTTTGTCACATTTTAGTACAGATTACAACAGTCCTCTCTATACCACTACCTCTCCAGGTTCTAGTAATTGCTTTATTCTTTGTTTCTTTAGGTTTAGGAATGATATTAGAACCCTAAATGTATGATTCCTGGGTTACTTTGCTATTCCTACCCACCCTCACCAAGCCCTGTCCACATCTTTGTAAAGAGATCTTTTATTAAAACTTCTTGCAATCACACAGTTTGTAAATTCTATCTGTCCTTATCATGTCTTGACAATGTTATACATTTATTTTTAATAAATATGCTTAGATTTATGAAAAGTAAGATGGTAGGAAGCTGTTTAATAACAAATATATAAGAAAATTATATAAGAATATTATGACTGGAGTCAGAAACAAAATCTAATATTAGGATAAAAAAATCATCTTTTTTGTGTATAAGAAGGGAACTAGATAATCTCAACTGGGATAGAGAGAACATTCCAAGATATAGATTGTGAAAGTGGAAAAACTGAAAAGTATAATATTCTCACAAACGTGTTAGATCTTATTTATTAGCATCAAAATAATTCCTCATGTTTATGATTAAGTACTACAAGATACAGTTAATATCTTCAAATGTTACCACATATTAACAAACACATTCAGTTGTAATACATAAGACAACTTTGAAGAGCTTTTACTTCAATAAGTAATAGGGAATAGAGAATGGATTAGAACAAGGAGCCTGGTCAACATGGCGAAACCCCATCTCCACTAAAAATACAAATATTAGCCGGGCATTGTGGTACACGCCTGTAATTCCAGCTATTCAGAAGGCTGAGGCATGAGAATTGCTTGAACCCAGGAGGTGGAGGTTGCAGTGAGCCCAAACCACCACTGCACTCCAGTCTGGGCAACAGAGTGAGACCCTGTCTTTAAAAAATAAAAAAAAAAAAATGTCGGGCACGGTGCCTCACGCTTGTAATCTCAGCATTTTGGGAGGCCGAGGCGTGCGGATCACCTGAGGTAGGGGATTTGGAGACCAGCCTGACCAACCTGGAGAAATCCCGTCTCTACTAAAATTACAGAATTAGCCGGGTATGGTGGTGCAGCATGCTGTAATTCCAGCTACTCAGGGGCTGAGGAGAATCGCTTGAACCCGCGAGGCGGAAGTTGCGGTGAGCCGAGATCGCACCATTGCACTTCAGCCTGGGCAACAAGAGCCAAACTCTGTCCCCGTCCCCCCCCCCCCCAAAAAAAAAGAGAAAAAGGAAAAGGAAGCATATAAAATGTAATGGAGTGGTCACAGGGTAGACATCTGTGAACAGTATCTGTGTTAGGGCAAGAAACAAGCAAATAAAAAATGTAACATATAGTCCAGATAGTAAGCGCAAAGCTATGTATTTAACAATGTTTGTTGTTAAATAACTAGTTATGTTTTTGAAATCATCTTCCCCAAGTAGATACGAAAATATGAAGCATTTAAAAGTAACCTGTTTTAAAATATTATAAGAAAATCACATTGCAGTTTTTAAAGTGTCTGAAGATTCCACAGATCTCACTAAATCGGAGAGAATTCAGTGAAAGTTTTCTTGTGTGTGTTTGTAAATTGGCATTAAAAAGAACATGATGCAAAAAGTATAAATCTCTCATATCCAGCAATAATGATGAATTTCTCTCCACATATTAGCTCTCACAGTATGAGCCAAAGTTCATATTTTGTATTATTATGTCATTTCTAAGCTTCTCCATTTCTATTGCTGTTATATAAATTTAATGGAGGCTGCCCTAGTGGTATGAGCTTTTTCCCCCTTTAAATCTAAGAAAGCTACTTATATGGTATCAGATTGCTAAGCCCTCTATCGCTCTTAACAGAGATATAAATATAGAAGGAAAAATGATTAACAGTTATTCCATATCTACCTCAAAGGGAAATTTGTGAGGTTTAATTGGGTAATGTCTGCAAAGTGTTTCAATTCCTAAGAGAAAATAGTACATAAGCATAAGGGGAAAAGGCACCACAGTAAAATTAGACTGCGTTAGTAGCAATAAAGGTAGGTTTTAGTTTGAATTCTGACAGACTAGCAGTAGGATACTGTTTTGAATTGTTCTAAATCTCTATTTCAAATGTAATCAGCAAACACTCATAAAACTGAGCTATTATGGAAAGTATAAGAGATTGATAGAGGGAGAAGAGCATAAGTTCAAGTTTTTGCTCCTTCTTATCAATTGAGAGTTGGTAAGCCTGTCATGGAAACTCTCAGACCCACAGTTTTCTCAGCTATAAAATAATGCAGTCTCTTTCTACTTCACAGACATTCTGTGAGGATTATACATTTTAAAAAGTTAAGTAAAAATGGTTAGAAATATTTAACATGATCTCTGTTTGCTTAAAAAATATTTGCCATTAATGGGATAGCTCAAAACAAGGAATGTTAAGTATATTTATTCTAAAAAATAAATAGAGTTTATGTTTATCTTTTTTTTTAAGTTTTTTTTTTTTATTTTGAGAGAGTCTGGGTCCCAGATGGTGAGTTTAACATAACATTTGCCAGATGTATTTCTATCCCTCCCTTTCAGCATGACTTCACAGAGAATGACGATGATCTTTTTCTGATCTTATGGATCTTTAAATAAAGACATTCACCATATGTGGCTTGGATTAAATTAGACAAGGAAAAGTCCCAAGAAGAAAAACGTGTATCTTCACTCACCCCTAGTCAGCACCATACACATGACTACCCTGCTTAACAATTGCAAATTATCAACTGTAGTTAATCCTCTATCCTAGCACTTGGGGAGGTCAAGGTGGAAGGATTGGTTGACCCCAGGAGTTCAAAACCAACCTGGGCAACATGGCAAGAACCATCACCCACTTCTCTACCAAAAAATTAAAAATTAAAAATTAGCCAGGCATGGTTGTATGTGCATATGTGCCCAGCTACCTGGGAGGCTGAGGTGGGAGGATCCCTTAAGCCCAGGAAGTCGAGCTGCAGTGAGACATGATTGTGCCTCTGCATTCCAGCCTGGGTGACAGAGTGAAACCTTGTGTCGATAAATAAATAAACAAATAAATAAAATAAAAATAAATAAGAGCTGAACTTTTAAAAAAAATTTTATATACAAGTTTCTTGATAATAAAAAACCATAAACAATAGAGTGTGAATTATACTTTACTATTAGTTACAATTTATACTATGCAGTTATGATTTTAACATGTGTTCCATAGAAGCAGTGGCTGTCCTGTATCTATTAATATTTTTCTTTAGATTACTAGCTGTCTTTTCACATTGCACATACAAATTAAATATTTTTTGAATGAATGATGAAATGAAGGATCTGTGTGATCATTTCATCCCACTTCCACTCCTACTACCTAGTCTGAGCTTACATCATGTTTTACCTAGGATACTTTAATAATCTTCTAAATGGTCTCTCCATTTCTAACTGTAATTTGTACCTTTATAAACTATTAAATATGTGTGAAAACATTTTAAAATTATTTTTAAATATTTTAATTATTAAACTATGTGTATAAACTTTAAATTATTAAATGTTTCTGTCAAACCTTTTGACATTTCCTCATTTGTATCATATACTTTTACCTATTCTTATCTAGTTTACATATTTTTTATTTCCCTATGATTTTTTAAAATGTAAATATTTTTATTTTGGTTTTTGGTCACTAACCTGTGTTCTATGTCAAATAATACATTTTTGTTCTAAATTTCAGTTGTAGTTGTTCAATTTTACAATAAAATTTTGCTCTTCTTATTGATTCAATTTTTCTGTAAAATTCTACATATCACTGATTTGTCTAATTTTCTTATAAAAATTAATCATGGTTATTTTATGTCAATTTCTGCTAACTGCAGTATCTAAATGATCATTGAATCAGCTTCTAACATTCTCGTGATTATATCATATTTGCTTGTCTCTCCACATTATTACTTTTATTTTATCAGCTATTTTGTATGAAAAGGAATACAAAACACCCAGATATCATGTTTCAACAGAGATCATTTGATTGACAGGATTGGGGCTGGCAGCTGCAATCTGCATCTGACTTGACCTTTGCAAATTATGCTTTCATTGAGTTTTGTATGAGTATGGAAGGGTTTAATTTATAAATTCTAAAAGCCTTTGAAAATTCTTAAATAATTATGTTTGAACGTTACTTCTGCCCTATTACTTATTTCCTCTTCATCCTGAGAGTGGAAAACACAGCTCTGCCATTGAGATATTTTCCAGCTCATTTCTCAAGTCTCATATCATAACTAGTTTTAAAATATGGCAAATGTTTTCAGGTAGAAAAGCTTTTACTCAGAAAAAAGGCCCATAATCTGGTGGGCTTCTTAGTTTTGTTTTGGTAAGAGCACCACAAGACTGCAGGAAATTTTACTCTTGCTTTGGATGTATAGACCTACGTACACCTTCTAGACCCATCTGCAAAAACAAAAATCTAAAAAAAAAATTAAAAAATTCTATTAGGGAAAACAGGCTCCACTTTTTTGTTGCCTCAATTTTCCCATTTGTTGTTTTAGCCACATACAATTACTAAAACTCTTGATAGTTTTGTTTTTTCTGTCTAGCAACATTTTTACATCTGGGCCACCAAAATTCTCTCCTTGATTTCAATTATACTGATTCTCCCAGTGTTACTGAAACACCAGATGTTTGGTCTAGGTCCTGCTGCTCACAGCACAGAAAGCCTATCACTGAGACGACAGTTATTGCAAGGAAGAAGGCTTTAATCCAGTGCTGCAGCCAAGGAGATGGGAGCTCAGTCTCAAATCCATCTCCCCACTGCTAAAACCAGGAGTTTATATAGCAGGGAAGAAATGAAACAATGTGTAAGAAATCAGGAACTAGGGAGGGGCAAAGATGCAATCATGTTAAAGTGTCAGGCATCTCATTATCAGGTTATGGTGATCTGCTGAGTTTCAGTTCTTTGATACTTTTTTTGAGAGGTCTGAAGGTCCTTTCCTGAGGGAAAAACTTAGATAAAACAAATGTTAAGTTTTGAGGTTTAAGACCGGAAGAGTCCATTTCTATGCTTATCTAAAAGAACAGTCTAGGGGACTTTTGGGTCAGTTTCACCAGGGTGAAAATGGCTGATGATAACAAACGCAAAAATAAATGAGAAATGAAGACAAAATTGCTCGTAAACTGTATAGATCTCTTTGAATTCAGAACACTGTTTTTCTTTTTAGTTCTCTTAGATGATGTGTCACTAGAAAAGAAAAAAGACCAAATAAATCATCATGTGCTATACTCTGACAATCTTCGTTTGACTTTTCCATACGTATTTAATAACTCAGTAATTTTCATATTACCATGATTATCTGGACCCATGCTTTTTCCATAACAATAGCAAGTAATCTTTTGGCATCATTAGTAGTATTTAACACTAAATAAATACTTACAACAGCAGTTGAATAATTTCCCTTCACCTAATTATTTTAATCCTTATTAAAGTGATGTATTTTAATGTATTTTTATCCTCTCCCCCTGCATCTTTTCAGTGGTATTGCTATGATAGACGAACATTACATTATCATAATCCATAAGATAAAAATTATTTGAAGAGGTAGAATTATACACAGCTCTGACCTAAAAACATGTCTTGGGATTTTTCCCCCAGTCCTCGATATGAATTAAATTTAAAGTTATAATAGGTTATAAAATGTATGGTTTTCCCTCCTGTATAATTAACTATGTTAGACATTCAGAGAATAGAGCTAGTCAAGACACTGGTAGGGTATTAAAACAAGACTCAGATATTTAAATACAAGTCTGGACTTTTGTCTCAACACCACTTTGTTCAGTTACCTGAAATAAAAAAAATTCTCTTTGTCTCTTATTTAATTTTCTATAAATCAGAAAAGCTAATACCCTATCGTTCTTCTATTTATAATAAGGCATAAAATAATGAAGACTTGTGTGTCCGAAATTTGTGGGTTTTTGGTCTCACTGACTTCAAGAATGAAGCTGTGGACCCTCGCGGTGTTACAGTTCTTAAAAATGGTGTGTCCGGAGTTTGTTCTTTCAGATGTGTCCAAAGTTTCTTCCCTCCAGTGGGTTCCTGGTCTCGCTGGCTTCAGGAGTGAAGCTGCAGACTTGTTGTGCACGTTACAGTTCTTACACGTGGCGCGCCTGGAGTTGCTCATTCCTCCCCTGGGGATTCATGATCTCGCTGGCTTCAAGGCTGAAGCTGCAGACCTTCACAGTGATTGCTACAGCTCATAAAGGCTGCACAAACTCAAAGAGTGAGCAGCAACAAAATTTAGTGTGAAGAGTGAAAGAACAAAGCTTCCACAGTCTGGAACAGCACGGGAGCAGACTACAGCTGCCGGCTCAGCTGCCTGCTTTTATTCCCTTATCTGGCCCCACCCACTTTCTGCTGATTGGTTCATTTTACAGAGAGCTGATTGGTCCATTTTACAGAGAGCTGATTGGTCCATTTTACAGAGCGCTGATTGGTCCATTTTTGACAGGATGCTGATTGGTGCATTTACAATCCCTGAGCTAGACACAGAGTGCTAATTGGTGCATTTACAATCCTCTAGCTAGACATAAAAGTTCTCCAAGTCCCCACCCAACTCAGGAGCCCAGCTGGCTTTGCCTAGTGGATCCTGCGCTGGGGCTGCAGGCAGAGCTGCCTGCCAGTCCCATACTGTGCACCAGCACTCCTCAGCCTTTGGGCGGTGGATAGGACTAGGTGCTGTGGAGCAGGGGGCAGTGCCTGTCAGGGAGGCTTCAGCCATGTGGGAGCTCTTGGGGGGAGGGGGCAGGCACCTTGGGCATGGCGGGCTGCCAGGCAGACCCCTGCCCCGTGGGGAGGCAATTGAGGCCCAGCGAGAATTCGAGCACTGCATGGGTGGGCCCGTGGTGCTGGGGGACCCGGCACACCCTCCGCAGCTGTTGGTCTGGGTTCTAAGGTCCTCACTGCCTGGGGCTAGCGGTGCTGGCCAGCCACTCTGAGTGCGGGGCCCACCGAGCCCACACCCACCCAGACCTTGTGCTGGCCTGCGAGCGCCACGCGCAGCCCCAGTTCCCGTCTGCACCTCTCCCTCCACTCCTGCCCAGAAGCAGAGGGAGCGGGCTCTGGCCTAGGCCAGCCCAGAGAGGGGCTCCCGCAGTGCAGTGGTGGGCTGAAGGGCTCCTCAAGCATGGCCAGAGTGAACACCGAGGCCAAGGAGGTGCTGAGAGCGAGCGAGGGCTGTTAGCACGTTGTCTCCTCTCATTGTGACTATGACAGTTATGCAGAGCATTATAGCACTGAAAGAGGAGAAATGTTTAAAAAAAATTAAAAAAAATTATGTGGATATACACACATATGAATATATACATACATATTTCTAAAAATTAATATTAAAAAGAGAATGAAATGGAAAAATAATGAAAAAATCTTGAATAGTTCCAAAAGCACATAATTTAATTAAAATTATCTAAAAAATGATTTGAGACTTGTAAATACACTACAGATTATTGCATGCTTTTGTAGTGCATTACCGTATTTGTAACTTTGGTGGTTTTACCAGTTGGCGCACTATTTTGCAGGTCTGTATAGGGTCAGAGATTATCTTTTATATGTTCACCTTGAAAAGTGCAAATATTTCCTGCCATTGTAAAGATAAAACTCAAAAGATTATTGATTTTTGTCCTGTTGGACATGAATCAGTTTTATAGAAATCTAGCATTTATACCCTAATACATGTTTATTAAACCTCCTATAAATATCCAACTACTAAAATGCTCTTTAAACTGGTTTTAACATCTTACCTGTTCCCTCATCAACACATTATTTAAATACAAATTTGCTGCATGTTCACTTTATATTTGCATTTTTGGATGTCCTGTTGAGTAGCCCAAATGGACATATTTAATGGAGTCAAGTAATTTACATTATGGGCTGCTTAAGTTCAGGCCCTTTTTTTCTTTCCTGATTTCCAGAGGAAAACCCAAGAAACACAGAATTTTTATTTCACGAACCGTAGTCTTTCCTTCTCTACCCCTACTGATTTTGTTTTATTTTTTGCTGCTAGTTTACTCATATTAGTAACTTATTTCCCAATGATGGCATGATTCAGAATTTGGTTTTTAGTTTGATAATTTGGAGATTTCTGTAAGTGAATGATGAAGATCTATACTCTACTGGGTAAAAGATGACACAAAATATAGTTCTGAGTCTTTTTGTGTCAATTTATCAACTGAAATTAATTAAGGAAACTTTTTTTGCCCAGTTAGAATAATTTTTTGATAGATTAGTGAATTTTTACAGATTTTGTTTGTTTTCTTTTTCCTTTTTTTTCTTTTGATATGTGACAGAAATTGTAGAATGGAAATTGCAGACATTACATGTTTCTGTTTGTCTCTTTGTCTACAACTCAGAAAGCTTAGTGCAAAGTCTTTTTCTACCTATGGAGAGTATTTATCAATTAATACTTTGTATCTCTTCAATTAAAATGGTATTATAAGTTTATAGAAATAAGTTACTGGTTATGTCTTTTCTCTGATTTATTAATATAGAGTATAATATAAAAATGAACTTTATAGTTTCAGTCTTATTTAGAATTGCTTCTTAATAAATAGACTAATCTTGAGTTTCTAATCTTATACCAGTTTTCTGATCAAAATAATAAGCTTTATCCTAGTATAAGCTTTCAAATTATAAAAAAATGTAAATTTTGTTCAACAAAATTGAATTTTAACTTTATGAATATTTTTATTTGAGCAATCATTTATTTTATATATATATATATTTTTTTTGAGATAGGGTCTTGTCCTGTCACACAGGATGGAATGCAGTGGCAGAATCACAGCTCTCTGTAACCTCAAACTCCTGGACCCCAGCGACCCTCCTGCCTAAGCCTCCCAAGTAGCTGGAACTACAGGTGTGTACCACCATGCCCATCTAGATATTTAAATTTTTTGTAGAGATAAGGTCTTGCGCTGTTTCTCAGGCTGGCCTAGAACTCCTGGCCTCAGTGATGTTCCTGTCTTAGCCTCCCAAAGTTCTGGGATAACAGGCGTGAGCCACCATGAGCTATCATATTTTTAATGCGTTAACATGAACATTATTTCCAAATCTTTTGGTAACTTAAAACCTTGAATGAGTATTTAATGACTACCCTTCAGATAACTACGTAATATCTAAGTAATTCAGAAGGTTGAAATATTTATTGGTAATTTCTATATATAATATCTTCATGTTATGAAATTACTATTTACTGGGTCATAGGAAAGCAGATGTTTACTTTTGCCACCTAAAAATGTGTAAGGGAAAGTTGTGCTTTGGGTATTCATGCATTTTGCTAGTTTGCTAATATATTTGTATATGGTGAGCAGTTCTCAATTATTTACTACTGAATTTTGTCCATGAAATAAAGTTACTATAATACCTTCCTAAAAAGTTATAATTGATATAGTGGTTGATATTACCTAGAAACAATAGTGACTTAGAAAGATCACCACATATGCTGAGTAATAAGGTGAGTTTTATTTTGTAAGAAAAAGGAAAAGCCATTTTGCTCTAAAGTGTTAACTTTGTTCTGAAATATAAAAACATAATGAAAGACAAAATTGGAGAGTGTATAGAAAGTTGTAGAATAGTGAGGGGGGTAATATTTTTTATCTTGTTTTTTAATACCTCAGTCGGTGAAGATGCTATTGTTTTAACTTTCCCACAAAGTTCACTCACTTTTAATGATCTGTATTAAAAATTTAAGAACAAAAAAGGACTCCATGACAAACTTTGCTCTCAAATAGTAAATTACTTCACTCTCAAATGGTAAATTAGTTCAAAATAAGAATTTGGCTTATTTTGTTTCTCTTTTGTTGTTCCTGAGACAGAGTGTCCCTGTGTCATCCCGGCTGGAATGCAGTGGAGTGATCTCTGCTCACTTCAGTCCAGTGCCTCCTAGATTCAAGTGATCCTTGTGCCTTGGCCTCCTGAGTATTTGGGATTACAGGCGTGTGTCACCATAACTGGCTAATTTTTGTATTTTTTGTAGAAAGAGAGTTTTGCCATGTTGGCCAGGCTGGTGTTAAACTCCTGATAAGTGATCTGCCCGCCTTGGTCTCTCAATGTGCTGTTATTACAGGCACAGGCATGAGCCACTGCTCGGGGCCTGGCTTTTTCTTTGTTTGTTTGTTTGTTTGTTTGTTTTAATCTGGCTGGGCTTGGTGGCTCACCCATGTAATCCCAGCACTTTGGGAGGCCAAAGTGGGCAGATCACTTGAGGTCAGGAGTTCAAGACCAGCCTGGCCAATATGATGAAACCCTGTCTCTACCAAAAAATACACACACAAAAAAAATTAGCTGAGTGTGTGGGTGGTACACGCCTGTAATCCCAGCTACTAAGAAGGTTGAGGCAGAAGAATCACTTGAGCCCGGGAGGCAGAGGTTGCAGTGAGCCAAGATCACGCACTGCACTCCCGCTTGAGTGACAGAGTGACACTCCATCTCAAAAAGATACCCAAAACCAAAAAAAAACAAACAAAAAACAAAAAACACATTAATCCTAGAGCTATTCATTAGGGGATGTAAATGATAATACTTTATTTTCTATGTGATCTCTCTAGAAGAATAATTTTTACTGCTTGTGTTGATTTTATTATTCCTTTCATTATTTATAAAAACAAATAAAAAATCCCCAAAATACAGGAGAACAAATGTTCCTTGATTATCAGAACTAAATTTTCTGACATTTATGCTGCCTTCTTCTTTTTATTTAAATTTTTTTGTCATTTTGATTATCATCATAACTTCCCATCCACTCATTATTCTGTCTGAGTCAAATGATCACATCTCTTCTAACAACTTTTAATTTTGCCTTTTTAATATCAGAAACTATATTCAGAAAATAAAAAAACTTTGCACCAAAAATTGCCTTTGAAATTTCCCAGAAGTTCTTGAAATCACAAGGATTTATTATTTTACATTATGAAAAGAAGCACTAAAAATATTCCATATGTATGCAACATATATTATCTCATCACTGCTGGAAGGGCTGCTTGGTAGGAATTGTGAAATCAGAAGAGATGCCCAGCCTTTGCTTGTTAACTTCATCCAGATGATATGTTATTAAAGTGAATACTTCAGAAATTGTACGCATCATGGAAGAGCACTGGATATTTCCCATGCGTTTACTCTACCTACTGTGCTCTTACCTTTGGGGAAACATGGATCACACCATTAATAAATAGTTATGAATTGTAATTCAAAGAGGATTTTATACTCCTCGAGTTTTTATACTTGGTTACTGAAATAAATTAATCACAGCTCTTTAGTCTTATTATCAAACATATATCTGCTTTCCTATATATTCCCTGCCGCAGTTTAGAAGCTAAGTGTTCAACAAATAAAGATATTCCCAGAGTTCTATGGAAATAATAGTATCAAGTTGCTTAAAATACTCTTGCTTCAAAGAATGAAAACTTTTGTACAAGCTACTGAGCTGACATTTTTTATACGTTGACTGTAACACTGATCTCTGTATCTTAGGATTTTTAGTTCAGAAACAGAGAATGCTGACCCAACACCTAGGGAGCAACATCAAATTATACAAAATTGAATGAACTAATTAAAGAAATGTAATACTTGTTTTTTGTTTGAAATGTTGTTGGCAATGTTTTTATTCTTCTATTGGTACCTGATACTCAACACCTCTGTTTTCATAGGTGGTAAGAAAGTTCATAAGCCTTAACAAATTTGGAGGACCTCAGAAAGAGTAGAATTCATTCAAATTAGATGTCCTGTGGGTCAAAACGAATAGAGCATTTGTATTCAGTTTTTTAGCCTCAGTATATAAGAGCAAATGATACAGAAGTTCAATCTAAGATTCCTTATGAAAATTTGTAAATGAAAGTTAGTTCTCTGGTACTGGTTAATACAACACAGGATGCTCAATGAAGCCTATGTAATTAACACTTTGGTTGGACCTATATATGTAATAATCCAACCAAACATAATGAAATGAGTCTTACTATAATTCATAAAAATCTTCGGAGATTATCAACCAAAGGGTGGTGGAAAATTATTAGAAAAATTGTTAGAAGCTTGGAAATAATCAAAAGAGATTACCAGTTATTTATTTACGGCATTACTGGTCTTGTACCTTTGGTTGCTTTACTGTTGACTTTACAGTTCTGTTGCTTCACAGTTCTGTAAGGGCAGAATTTATTTTGTAGATAATTTTCAAGTAAAAAACAAATTATTTCTGTCTGGTGGAAATATACTTTTAAAGATTACAATGTGGCCAGGCACGGTGGCTCATGCCTGTAATCCCAGCACTTTGGGAGGCCAAGGCGGGCGGATCATGAGGTCAGGAGTTCAAGACCAGCCTGGCCAACACAGTGAAACCCCGTCTCTGCTAAAAATACAAAAATTAGCCGGGCATGGTGGTGCGTACCTGTAGTCCCAGCTACTTGGGAGGCTGAGGCAGAAGAACCGCTTGAATTCAGGAGGTGGAGGTTGCAGTGAGCCAAGATCGTGCCACTGCACTCCAGCCTGGGTGACAAAGTGAGACTCCACCTAAAAATTAAATAAATAAATAAATAAATAAATAAATAAATAATTACAATATATTGCCCTAAAAGACACCAACCAGTTTTGAATCTAAAAACCAATTTTCTCCTCAAATTCCTGTATTGGATTGCCAAAATTATTCGGCAACTCAAAAGGAACTTTGAACTGGTTTCAACACCCTACTGCTTCCCCCATCAATTAACGAGTAAAATAAAATAGCTGACATACATTCACTATATAATTGCATGAGTCATTTTTTAAACTCTTAATATCTTATCATTAGATAACAACAAATTAAAAGCACATTGTTAAAGAGAAACACCACAAAGAGTGATGGTCAATAAAAAAATATTGTAAATGCCAAATGTTGGCAAGAATGGAGACACTGAAAATCTCATACACAATTTATGGAAGAATAAATTAGTAACCACTTAGGAAAATATTGGCATACCTACCAAAGCTCAGCATATATAAATCTTATGAACGAGCAACTTTATATACACATAGGTATATAAAATAAGCAAATAAATAAATATTTATGAGGGGGTGTATATATGTGTGTATATTTATATATATAGAATACTTATATATTCAACATATATGCAAACATATAATGCTGAGAGAAGCCAGACACAAAAGTTCACACTCTATAATTCCATTTGTATTTAGTGCAAAAGTAATCAAAATTATTCTATGCTGTTAGAAATCAGAATGGTAGGATGGGTTGCTGGAAAAGAGCATTAAGGAGACATCTGGAGTACTGACAATTTCTTTGGCATGTTCAATTTGTAAACATTTTTGGGCTAGATACACAAAGCATGAACTTTTTGCATATATATATTAGATATTAGTGAAAGTATGTGTATAAGGTAATTATATATAGTGTGTGTATATTTATATATATACACACACAGAGTAATATTTCTATGTCCCTATATTTTCACCTCTATCTCTCCACCTGTCAAATTTGATGGTTAGCATAGTGAGCAACTCACTACTGTTGGATGTTTCAGAAGATCCATAAACAGTGGCAGTCAGAGAAAAAGTGAATTTAATATTAACATGGTTATCAAATTATGCTCTAAAACTCAATAAGAGTTGCCAAATATCCACACGTTGACTTTTGGTCTGAAAATTCATACTTCTGAGAATTTATCCTAAAGACAAATATGAATACATAAAAATGATATGTGTAAAGGGTATCTATTGCAGCAGTGCTTATCAGAGTGAAAGATTAGAAACTATTGATATAAAAAGCTTTTAAATATATATTAGTGAAAAAAGCAAAGTTTAGAACACAGTATGTAACAGGTTATATTTTGTGTAAAAATAGGATGACAAAAATATGAATATATTCTTATATTTGCACAATAACTCTTTAAAGTATGTATAAGAAATTAATACAATGGGAGATTTATAGGGATTTAGAAGAAAAATATGATTAGAACACAATTGATAGTAAAACATCTATAGCTCTATCTTTAATACATACAACTGGAATTTGAGTTCTGGGAATGTATTACCTTTCAAAGATGTAAAATTTTAAACAAATAAAGCAAATATGAGATTTATATTAAAATCAGCAGCCCACTCTATGACAAAATCTGAAAGTGCTCGGTTGTAAGGTCAGGAGTTTTTATCCTGTTGTATAACAGAGTAGAATGTTGTGGGTCTCTATGAAAAGGCTTCAGGTAAAATACGATATTCAGGAACCTATGTACCAACAACAAGTAATACGAATATGGTGGCCTCAAACTGCAGCATGGGTAACAGAAACTTCAAAATTTGTTTTAACATTCTATTCTATATTAATTAAATTGTGAGTTCCTTAGGGGTATTGCCTTTTTATATAATTCATTTCATTTCTGATATTTCTATGTCATGTTAGCCTTTTAAGTTTGTATATTCTGTTTATGATAACTCATAGGCTAGAATATTGATAATAAAACACTTAACATATGATTACATTGCATGTGTCAAACACTGTGAAAATCAATTTAAGTGGATTAGCTTATTTAAAAATTTCAGTAATTATTTGTGGAGAGTTTTAGAGTGTCTGTGTTACAGAAAACCAATTTTAGAGCTGTCAAGGTTGACAACGAAGACTTAACACAGAGAATATCAAGCTCTCCCTGTTTTTCTGCCTCTTAAGCAGATTGGCTTCCTTGGTCAAGTTTTCAAGGTGTCTTTTGCACCTCTAATCATTACATTCAGCATTCCAGACAGAAAGAAAAACAAAAGAGAAGGGAAATATTGGAATGCTTTCTCCTCCTTCTTTTATAAGAAAAGCAAAAACTCTCCCAAACTTTCTGCAAAGAAGAATTTTCTTACTTCTTATTGGCCAGAAGCAAAGTACATGTACACACGTAGACAGCTGTATACCTTAAGTGAGTTATTGATGAATGGTCATCAAGCGAGGGGAGGGTGGGTTTTGTAGCATAATTTAGCACACTTTTGAAAAGTTATTTGAAATGAATTTCAAAGGCATAGTGTAAAACAATTTCAATTTGTATTCAGTAAAATATTAACAGTGTATCTTTTTTTTTCTAACTACTGATGTGTAGTAATGACTATGAAGGGACTGATTTCTACATGAGGGAGCCATTTCCATTAAAACTGATCTCACAGATAAAATGCTAAGCACATCAGGAAATCCACAGATCTGAAAGAAATTCAAAATTTGAAAAAAATGGGAAAATTAAAAGGGGAGGAAACATAGATATAAAAGCATGTTGAAAGGGATTTTAAAACAGGTTGTGATTAAAATGTTCAAAGAGTAAAAGGAAGTAATAGAATAAGTGAGTATGTGTAACTTGTTCAAGGTTATATAATTTCAAATGATCTAAATTCAAACTCAGATCATTATGATTTCACAGCCTCCTCTTTTTAAAATTTTTTGTTTTAATCCATGCTACCTTGTCTACTTATATTCTAATACTATTATACTATTTGGCTAAAGCATGTGGCTCAAAGAGACTTATTTAGTTCTGTGGCACTTCTAAGTCTGATTCTCCCATATACTGACCTAATGGCCTGGGGTAAGGTGACAGTATCTCTGGGATTCAGACTCATATTCATAATACCTACAACACAGGGCAAGGAGAAAGATGAATAAGAGTGATATGAAAATAATCTGGGTTCTAAACAGTGACAGCACAAAACTCAATCATTTTATGATAGATGCATGCACTCAATTAAAAAAAATCTGGATGAAATGTAGGTTTAATAGCAATTCTTGGAAAACAGAATATTTACTTTTGGAAGTTGATTGGCATTTTTCTTGTATTGCAAATTATTGCACATTGGAATTACTGGGGTGGGGAAAGAGGGTATTGACTGCTACTTACTGGTTTGTTGCTATTATTTTGCATTTTAAAAGCAGGTGAGTTTTAGACTTTCTGATCACATATGAAATATTTATACAGATTGGAAAATTCAATATTCTCATTATCAAATTCCTGAAGTTTTTTAGGTGGAGAAATAGTTTTATTTTATTTATTTATTTATTTATTTTTAAGATGGAATTTCACTCTTATTGCCCAGGCTGGAGCATGATCTCGGCTCACTGCAACCTCCGCCTCCCAGGTTCAAGTGACTCTCCTGCATTAGCCTCCCGAGTAGCTGGGATTACAGGCACATGCCACCACACCCGTCTAATTTTTGTTTTGTTTTTTTAGTAGAGACAGGGTTTCACCATCTTGGCCAGGCTGGTCTCATACTGATCTCATGATCCACCTGCCTCAGACTTCCAAAGTGCTGGGATTACAGGCATGAGTCACCAGGCCTGGCCGCTGAAACGTTTTTAAAATACCCTTGCAAATAGGCTTTCACTGCAAAATCAGACTCTCCTGAACACATTTGGAAAACATAATCTGAAATGAGATAAGACTATTTGTATTCCATATTTATGCCATTTAATTAATATTTTATCGAAAAAATAATAATATGCATAATTAGGAACTGCTGTTTAAGCCCATGCTGAGGATAGTATGTATTATTACGTAAACGGTCTCACATTTCCAAAATCCAAAAACCTCTCTACTGAGAATATTTCTGACCCCACACATTTTCAGTGAGGGAACTTTGGATTGATATAAGTAAAAATAAGTAAATCTCTTTAAAAGTCTATTTAAGAATCTACTGGAAATGAAATGTCTCCCAATTAGTATATTGCTATTTCAAAAGAAGTACCTGAGCAGAAAATAATCTAATTCGCTATTATGTTTAAAGGATGAAAATATATCCTGCAGATAAATTCTTGAAAGGGGATTGACTGAAATACTTTTAATAATTATCATGGGAATATAATTTTTTCCTGCTAGATTTATAGGAAGCTCTTTGACCTGCAGGAACAATAGGTCATCATAAATTTAAGTAACATGAAGGAGAGAAAGAGCTGGACTGTCTGTGGTCCATCTACTAGCATTAACCCCACGTTACAGGACAGTGCTAATTTGTCCACTGTATGAAATAGTAAATCAAATGGTTTCTATTTTCTAGGAAGAATAGATGAAATGACATGTCTCAAAGCAGAATAATAATTACACAGGTCAAAGGCCTTTGAGCTGGTACTTAACTATGATACATAATGAGGATAGTTCATCAAGATTTGAGTATCTGAGTTATTTTTTCTGGATTCACTTTTCTTGGCATTTTTCTTAGAGAAGTTTCTAATGGATACTTAATAAAAATGATGCTAAACATATTTAGAATATGGCATAAGTAAAAATAAAGCAATAAAAAGCAATGCAAATATTCTGCATACCTTTAAGATTGAGGCAATGATTTCTTGTAATTCTTTTCTACTTTCCACTCTTAGTTTAAAAGATAATTGCTATCTGCATTTTATTATGGCAACCATGAAATACTATTAGATGTAAAACTACTTTGGAAAATGTAAGTCACTATAAAATGCAATGTTATATTCATCCATAATTATAATGTAATATGTGAAATATTTGTAAATTATGCATTTTAATAATTATTTTCTAGCTCTGGATTCCTAACTTCCCATTAGCTTTGGCATCATTTTATGAAAACAAAAATGACATATAAATAAACATGTATATGAAATTTTAGGTTCAACATTAACAAATTATTTTTTAAGAAGATGTCTCAAATATTTGGATATACTTGTTGATAGAGTTGTAATTATGTAATTTTGTTTTGGCTTTATCAATACATATTTTACTAATTCTCTGCCAAAGACATTAAAATTGAAGGGACCGATAAAAAATCTGCTAGGCATAATTTAAAATATTTCACAGCTAAGTGGAAAATATTTCACTTTTTAAGTCTTAGATGGGTATCATTGAGAATTATGAAGTAGATAATTGAGCTTGCTGTGGTGAACATTTCACCATCATTTAAAATAAAATTCAAGTTCAAGAAAACACAGCATATGTATTCTAAGATTTTATATAAAGCGTATAGCACTAAAAAGAGGAGCACTTATTATTTTGAGTTACTTGAGAATGAATCATTAAATTCTATGGCAGCAACCCTGTGTCCCTGGGCAGTTTACTTACATCTCTGATACCTCTTCTTGGTAAAATAGGATTCATGAAAACTACTTGTTGGAATTACTGAGAGAGGCTTTATAACACTGGACACAGCACAGTGTCTACAAACCAAAAGATGATGGTAGGCTTTTGTTTTGTTTGTTTCTTTTTTGCTGCCTGGTTCCTCTTCAGCACTCACCAAACTCCGTAAAACCGCTTATTTTATCTGGACCATCTTCTTGATTAATATCATCCAGAGCTTTATAACCACTGAAAGAAAAAATCTGTGGACCACAAAATCATGCACTCACTTCTCATCAGAATAGGGAAAGGCCCGAAATAAGTCACACATCTGATGCTTGGGCTCTTTCCGAGGAATCAGTTAGTCTTGATGAACACAAGAGGCTAAAAAAATCCTTTAATATTTGTACAGTGGACTGTAGATGACTATCGAATACTCTCTAATACTCCTCCCACTTACTCAGAGTACTCTCTAATTTATATTACGCAATATATAAGCAAGATTAAGAATTTTGGATTCAGCCAGGTTTGAATTAATATACATTCCCACATCTGTAAAAAAGAGATATGTATCCTGTATGTTTGTTGTGTATAGCAAATGACGTATTCTATTTAGAGTTCATATAATTTATAATACCAATAGTAAGTATATGGTAAATTATTTTTAGCATTTTATGACTACATACCTACCATTTACTTGGTGCATGTTACCTGTCAGACACTGTAATAAACCCTTTACATGCATCATTTCATCTAATTCATATACCCTATGAGATAGATTAAATCATTGGGACAATTTTACAGATAAGAAAACTGACGTTTGAAATTGTGCCTGTGAAATCATCAAAGGTGGTTGCATACTAAGAAAAGCTCATGTAAATATTGGAACAGCTTTACAATACTGTCTACTTTTTAATAATACTAAACTCTGAGTCTCTTCCCTTTAACTAGTACTGTATAATCACTATCAAATTTAAACACTTTAAATTTTCTAGTTCAGATTCTTGTAAAACTTGTATTATTATCAATTGCTAGAGTTTAGCTTAGTTCCACTAATTACATATTAGTAATTTATGCCTACCTGGAATTAGCCATTGTGATGAGATTGAGTACTTTTCTAATATTCACAGATTTCTGTTAATTGGCGTATATACACTTGGGTCCTTAAGTACATTGGACCACTTGCAAGATGCAGAGACAAGGACATTTTATTACCTTCATTTTGTCTACCATACCATGGGTGTTTCACAAGCCTGACTCAGAGCAGAACAATTAACAAAGATTCAGTAGTTTCCAATACTTGTATACATTCTCTAGGCTTCTTCAATTGTTCCACATTTCCATGAATGATTTACATCTGCATTTTTGTCATACTCAGAAGCATTGTCTCTATAAATTTTATATATCTTATCGGTGTGGGCATTAGTGGAAGAGAAAGGGCTAGGAATGTGTGTGTAACAACATTATTTTAAAGAAAATACTAACCAAAAATAGGATAGATCAACAGTATAGAAAAGCAAATATAGAGACATTTTACTCAGAAGAAGAAATGATGGAAGGAAGGATAGAAAGTATTTAAAAGTTTCTTGTACATCTGAGTTTATTCTAGCCCTGTTTTGAAAATAGGCACCTTGATATTCGTGAATAATACTGAGCAGGTCATAATAAATTATTTTTAATATTAGCTTACTGCAGCATTAAGTCTTTCAAACCCTAAATATCACTTTTGTTGTTTACAAAGAAATATTAATTGCATTGCAACTTTTTATTTTCAGAGAAAACTTATAGAAGACAGTTCTGGATTTTAATAACTCTTCTCATGTGCTAAGCACAGTTGTCTCATAGCATTCTATCCAAAGTGATTCTTAATTATTTTACTCTATTATTTTACGAATATTCAATATATTCTTATTTTGCATTTTTTAATCTGAAACATTTCCACATGAGTGATAATTTCAAAAAATACACACACTCAATTTTTAAGCACAAAACACCATGTTTTGAGCAAAGGTCTTATTTTTTTCCTCTGTCTACTAAACTTAATTATAAAGAAAAAATATTTTATACTTTATGTGCAATAGTACTTCAAGGCATGTGTTTTCCTAAGTAGAGGACAATTAATTCTAGGTCAATTATCTATAAACTCTGATCTGCCTCTCAGTTCATTATTATATGTAAACTTCATTACTGTTCCTTAAAATTACAATTTGGAAGTCGATACTGATTTATGAATATTTCTCTACATATTTTTACTAATTCAATGATTTTTATTGGGTGTTTTATTCAAGGCATCTTGCCAGGACTTATATGGAATTCAAATGTGAATAAGGCATGGCCTCCTATTTCAAAGGCTGTTATCTGTCCAGTTATCTAAACTAGTATCACAGTTTCTCAATATGATTTAACTTTTTTTTTTACTTAACATTTTTGACTGTGGAAAAGCATAGTGCAGTATGAAAGCATGGATCACACTGTTCACTTTCTAGTGCAGATTAAATACATGTTAAGTAAAACCAGTCCAAGATTTCCCTCGAATAACTATGTTTTGATTTATTTTCTTTTATTTTTACATTTTTATCCATAGAATTATCTTTATCTCTGACTTCATTTCCTGCTTTGGTTACAAAGAAAGATAAGAAAAAAAGTTTGCACTTCAATTATTAGTTTCAAACAAACAAAATCTAAAAGATCACTTTTCATTGCTCATATTAATAAAAGCTCTTTGCATGATTGCTTTGCCCTGTCCCGGTTGCTAAAATTGTGTGTGTGTGTGGTGTGTGTTTAGACAGAGAGAGACACACACACACACACAGAGAGAGAGAGAGAGAGAGAGATCCATGCTACAGTTTGCAAGGATATTGTTAGAAAGTTTCTTCCCAGTGATTTGTTTCTTTGCACTTTAAATGACTACTTGATTTGGAGGCCACATTTCAATACATGCTCTTCAAATATTTTATTTAAAGTATATTATTTATGAGAATCTGTAAGAAAATAAAGTGGAACTTAAATAAAGCTTATAAAGTTTTAAATATGTGACTTCTAACCAACAGTAACATATATGGTATTAAGCAGTAGATCAATATTTTGGAGGGTTTTTTGTTTGTTTACTTTGTTTTCTATTTAATTTCATAAAAATCAAATTTACCAGCCCCGTTTGAAATTTTTGTAGATTTCTCTACTTGTTTCTCTTCTCTATATTCCTCTATTAAATTACACTTTCCTAAATATAGCATCACTATTTCTCACAGTATGTTTATTTCAGTCATCATATGCCTGATAACTTTTTCTATTGGGATTAAAAATGTTTATAAAATTTAAAAAACATTAATTTTGCCAAAACTGTTACTAGAATCATTTGTTTTAAAAATGTAATAAAAAGATGCCAGATTTATTGATTCGTTCTCTCTGACACATACATATATACACAATTTAAGCCCTTAAAAAACACTTTTTTTGTACTTAAAGGCAAAATGTAGTAAGTGTGCTTAAGACAAAATTAAAACAGTCATTAAAGGCATATGTGGCACAAAAATTTCACTATCTCCTAAAATCTGTACATTAGACTTAAAAGATATTTGGGTTAGCAAAGCAGTAAAGAATATCATGTATGGGGTGTGACAACTGCTATGTATAGAATTAAGAGGAGTTGAACTGTGGTATAGAAATTTGGTATAATGTTTACCTTTAACATGAACAGTGTTATTCTGGGTCTAGAATAAAATTAGTTTGGACCTATTTTTTGCAGAAAAACCTAAAAATTAGGAAATTAAAATGCAAATTATTTTAGAAGGCATACAATCCTCAAATAATATCCACTTCTTTGGGAGTTTCTTTGTTTTTTTTCTTTATTTCTTCTAAAAAAAAAAAACAGGATACATGCACAGAACATGCAGGTTTGTTACATAGGTATACATGCGCCATGGTAGTTTGCTTCACCTATTGACCTGTCCTCTAAGTTCTCTCCCCTCACGCCCCACCTCTTAACTGGCGCTAGTGTGTATTGTTCCTCTCTCTGTGTCCATGTGTTCTCAATGTTCAACTCGCACTTATGAGTGAGAACATGTGGCGTTTGGTTTTCTGTTCCTGTGTTAGTTTGCTGAGGATGATGGCTTCCAGCTTCATCCATGTCACTGCAAAGGACATGATCTCATTCCTTTTCATGGCTGCATAGTGTTCCATGGTGTATATATACCACATTTTCTTTATCTAGTCTATCTTTGATGGGCATTTGGGTTGGTTCCATGTCTTTGATATTGTAAACAGTGCTGCAATAAACATACATGTGCTTGTGTCTTTATAATAGAATGATTTATATTCCTTTGGGTATATACCCAGTAATGGGATTACTGGGTCAAATGGTATTTCTGGTTCTAGGTCCTTGAGGAGTCACCATACTGTCTTCTACAATGGTTGAACTAATTTACATTCCCACCAATAGTGCAAAAACATTCCTCTTTCTCCACAGCCTTGCCAGCATCTATTATTTCCCGACTTTTTAATAATCGCCATTTAGAATGGCATGAGATGGCATCTCATTGTGGTTTTGATTTGTATTTCTCTGAGGATCAGTGATGTTGAGTTTTTTTCATATGTGTGTGGGCTGCATAAATGTCTTCTTTTGAAAAGTGTCTGTTCATATCCTTAGCCCACTTTCTGATGGGGTTGTCTTTGTCTTGTAAATATGTTTAAGTTCCCTGTGAATTCTGGATATTAGACCCTTGTCAGATGGATAGATTGCAAAAATTGTCTTCCATTCTTTAGGTTGCCTGTTCATTCTGATGATAGTTTCTTTGGCTGTGCAGAAGCTCTTGAATTTAATTAAATCCCATTTGCCAATTTTGGCTTTTGTTGCCATTGCTTTTGGCTTTTTTGTCATGAAGTCTTTGCCCATGCCTATGTCCTGAATGGTATTGCCTAGGTTTTCTTCTAGGGTTTTTATGATTTTGGGTTTTACATTTAAGTCTTTAATCCATCTTGAGTTAATTTTGGGTAAGGTGTTAGGAAGGGGTCAGGTTTCAGTTTTCTGCATATGGCTAGCCAGCTTTCCCAGCACCATTTACTGATTAGGAGATCCTTTCCCCATTGCTTGTTTTTGTCAGGTTTGTTGAAAATCAGATGGTTGTAGATGTGTGGTGTTATTTCTGATGTCTCTGTTCTGCTCCATTGGTCTATACATCTGTTTTGGTACTAGTACCATTGAAGGAGATAGAGACACAAAAAACCCTCCAAGCAGTCAACAAATCCAGGAACTGTATTTTTGAAAAAATTAACAAAATAAGCTGGGCGCAGTGGCTCACGCCTGTAATCCCAGCGCTTTGGAAGGCTGAGGCAGGCTGATCACGAGGTCAGGAGTTCAAGACCTGCCTGATCAACAGGGTGAAACCCCATCTCTACTAAAAATACAAAAATTCGCCAGGCATGGTGGTGCACACCTGTAATCCCAGCTACTCAGGAGGCTGAGGCAGGAGAATTGCTTGAACCCGGAGTCGGAGGTTGCAGTGAGTGGAGATCGCACCATTGCACTCCAGCCTCGGCGACAGAGTGAGACTCTGTCTCAAAACAACAACAACAAAAAAAGACAAAGAGAGAGAAGAATCGAATAGTCACAATAAAAAAATGATAAAGGGGATATCACCACTGACCCTACAGAAATAACAGCTACTGTCCAAGAATACTATACACACCTTTATGCAAATAAACTAGAAAATCTAGATGAAATGGGTAAATTATTGGATCCATACCCCCTACCGAGACTAAACCAGGAAGAAGTTGAATTCCTCAATAGACCAATAACAAGCTCTGAAATTGAGGCAGTAATAATTAGCCTACCAACTAAAAAAAAAAAAAAAAAAAAAAAAAAAATCCCAGAAGTATTCGCAGCTGAATTCTACCAGAAATACAAGGAGGAGCTGCTACCTTTCCTTCTGAAACTATTCCAATCAATTGGAAAGGAGGGACTCCTCCCTAACTCATTTTATAAAGCCAGCATCATCCTGATACCAAAACCATGAAGAGACACAACAAAAAATAAAACTTCAGGCCAATATTCCTAATGAACATCAATGAGAAAATCCGCAATGAAATATGGGCAAATTGAATCAAGCAGCACATCAAAAAACTTAGCCACCACGATAAAGTTGCATTCATCCGTGGGATACAAGTCTGGTTCAACATAGGCAAATCAATAAATGTAATCTATCACGTAAACAGAACAAAAGAAAAAACCACACAATTATCTGAACAGATGCAGAAAAGACCTTTGATAAAAATCAACATCCCTTCACATTAGAAACTCCCAAAAAACTACATACTGATGGAATATATCTCAAAATAATAAGAGCTATTTATGACAAACCCACAGCCAATATCATATTGAATGGGTAGGAGCTGGAAGCCTTCCCTTTGAAATCTGGTTCAAGACAAGGATGCCCTCTCTCACTGCCCCTATTCAACATAGTATTGGAAGTTCTGACCAGGGCAATCAGGCAAGAGAAAGAAATAAAGTGTATTTAAATAGGAAGAGAAGAAGTCAAGTTGTCTCTGTTTGCAGACGACATGATTTTATATTTAGAAAACCCCATCATCTCAGCTCAAAAACTTCTTGAACTGATAAGCAACTTCAGCAAAGTCTCAGGATACAAAATCACAAGCATTCCTTTACATCAACAATAGGCAAGCAGAGAGCCAAATCATGAATGAACTCCCATTCACAATCACTGAAAAGAGAATAAAATACCTAGGAATACAGCTAACAAGTGATGTGAAGGACCTTTTCAAGGAGAAGTACAAACCACTGCTCAAGAAAATGAGAGAGGACACAAACGAATGGAAAAATAGTCCATCCTCATGGATAGGAAGAATCAATATCATGAAAGTAATTTATAAATTCAATGCTATTCCCATCATACTACCATTGACATTCTTCACAGAATGAGAAAAAAACTGTTTTAAATTTCATATGGAATCAAAGAAGACCCTGTATAGTCAAGACAATTCTAAGCAAAAGAACAAAGCTGGAGGCATCACACTACCTAATGTCAAACTATACTACAAGGCTACAGTAACCAAAACAGCATAGTACTGTTACCAAAACAGACATATTGACCAATGGAGTAGAATTTCAGGGGTTCAAAAGCAATGAGATTTATTTTCAAAATTCTTTGAAAAAACATTTTTTAATCAGATAATAAATCTATCTGTGTGTCCGTAGGTATTTCAGGTTTCATTGTACCTATAACATGATTTATTTTAAAATAAAAATAAACATAGGCATAATCAGCAACATCACTGTTTCAACTAGAGAGTTCCATATGGCCCCTACCCCACATTTGTTCCTTTAAGTGAGAAATCTAATACTAGGGTATTAAATTCAGTACTTTCTTTGAAAGTGTAAAATACTTCCAAATATGCACATACAATTTTCATAAATGTGCCCTTTGAATTTTCACAAACTTTGCACTTCGTGTAGCCTCCAAGCATATCAAGAAAAAAATAAATTTTATCAATACCAGAGAAGCCCACTCTTGCCTCTTTCTGGTCAATAACCTACACCCTTCAACATTATACAGATGTCTAACAGTAAATATTATTTATTTTCTGTTTTGTACTTTATATAAATGCAATCAAAGTGTATTTTTTTGCATCTGCATTTATTGTTTCAACATTCTCATTGTGTTTGTTTATTCTTATCTCAGTATAGCACTACATTATTTGATATAACCAAGGAGGTGAAAGATATTTACAAGGAAAACTACAAAACACTGCTGAAAGAAATCATAGATGACACAAACAAATGGAAACATGCCATGCTCATGGATGGGTAGAATCAGTATTGTGAAAATGACCATACTACCATTAAATGCAATTCCTATCAAAATATCATTATCATTCTTCTCAGAACTGGAAAAAAAATCCTAAAATTCATATATAACAAAAAACAGCCTCCAAAGCAAGACTAAGCAAAAAGAACAAATCTAGAGGCATCACATTACCTGACTTCAAGCTATACTACAAGGCTATATTTACCAAAGCAGCATGATACTGTTATAAAAATAGTCATGTAGACCAATGGAACAGCATAGAGAACCCAGAAATAAAGCCAAATAGTTATAGCCAACAAATCTTTGACAAAACCAACAAAAACGTAAAGTGGTGAAAGGACACCCACTTCAACAAATGGTGCTGGGATAATTGGCAAGCCACAGGTAGAAGAATGAAACGGGATCTTCATCTCTCACCTTATAGAAAAATCAACTCAAGATGGATCAAAGATTTAAGTCTAAGTCCTGAAACCATAAAAATTATATAAGATAAACATTAGGAAAACTCTTCTAGACACTGGTTTAGGCAAAGAGTTCATGACCAAGGACCCAAAAGCAGATGCAACAAAAACCAACGTAAATAGATGGGACTTAATTAAACTAAAAAGCTTCTGCACAGAAAAAGAAATAAATGATAAGCAGAGCAAACAGACAACCCACCAAATGGAAGAAAATATTCATAAACTATGCATCTGACTAAGGACTAATATCCAGAATCTACAAGAAACTCAAATCAATCAGAAAAAAAAAAAATCCCATCAAAAAGTGGCCTAAGAACTAAAGGGGCTGAGAATAATTTTATGTGATTATTGACCTCTTAGATTTCTTGTTTGGAAAAGGACATTTTATTAGTGTGTTTCATACTGCTAATATAGACATACCTGAGACTAGGTAATTTATAAAGGAAAGAGGCTTAATGGACTCACAGTTCCACATAGCTAAGGAGGCCTCACAGTCAAGGCATGAGGCAAAGGAAAAGCAAAGGCATTGTCTTATATGGTGGTAGGCAAAAGAGCTTGTGCAGGGGAACTTCCATTTACAAAACCATAAGATCTCCTGAGTCTTCTTCACTAGCATGAGAACAGTATAGGGAGAAACCACCCCCATGATTCAGTTATCTCCACCTGGCCCCACCCTTGACACTTGGTGATTTTTACAATTCAAGGTGTGATTTGGGTGGGGACACAGCCAAACAATATCACAGATGTTCAAGTACTTTGGCCATTTTTTGTTGTTGTTTAATTGTTTGCCTTTTCTTACTGCTTTTTAGTAATTGCTTAATTGTACTCTGAACATGATTTTTATGTCATATGTATATATCAGAAGTATCATCTCTCTGTGACTACTTTTTGAATCTCATAATTTTTTAAAGGAAATGTTCTTAATTTAAATACAGTCAACCATATCTCTTATCTTCATGGTATTTGAATCCTTCATGTGGGAACTATGCCTTCTTCAAGTCATAAAGATGTTCTCCTATTTTTTTCTAGAACATTCATAATATTACCATTCTCATTTATGACTACAATTCTTCAGGAATGTATTTTTGTGTATAACATAGAGTACAGATCCAGATTCATTTTTTTCCCATATAGATATGAAATTGACTAAGAACAATTTATAGAAGAGTCATTTCTCTACTTTGTTCTAGGATCACATTGTTATGAATTAGGTGCATAGGTGAATTTGTTTCTGGATTTGATTATGTCTATTGGTTTAACTGTCAGTCCTCAAATCAATACCACACTGTCTTGAGAAATATATTTTTATATTTAGATTTTTACTGTATATGTTTAGCAAAATTATTTTTTGTTGTATTTGTTTGTTTTTAGAGATGGGATCTAACTATGTTGCTCAGCCTGAACTCAAATTCCTGGGCTTAAGTTATCCTTCCACCTCAGCTTCCCACTTAACTGGGGACACAGGTGTATACCACCATGGCTGGCTCATGATATTTCAATATACGTATACATAGTGAAATAATTACTACAGATAAGCAAATTAACATATCCATGATGTCAAATGGTTTCCTTTTTTGTTGGTAAAAGTACCTAAAATCCACACTTTTATCCAGTTTTCAATAGTACTAACTAGAGTGGTTCCCCCGATAACTTGTGGTTTCACTTTCTATGGTTTCAGTTGCCCATGGTCAACCACAATCCACAAATATTATGTAAAATAATATATTGAGAGAAATTACATTCACATAAATTTAACTACAATATATTGTTGTAATTGTTCCTTATTGTTTTTAATATCTTACTGTACAAAATTTATAAGTTTAACTTTATCACAGATATGTATATAGATAAATAGAAAATGGAGTATATATAGGGTTTGATAATATCCATGGTTTGAGGCATCCAAGAGGATGTCGGAACATGTCTTCTGTTATAAGAGGGTACTAGTCTATTGTCTTCATTGATGTATCTTAAATCTCTAGATTTATGAAACTGTAACTTTGTACACTTTCACCTTGGTATCCTCATTCCCCCACTCCATCTCTCTACCTGGTAACCACCTATCTTCTGTGTTTTTATGTATTCAAGTTTTTTTGTTGTTATTTTCAGTCCAAATGTAAGTACAATCATTCCGTATTTTTCTTTCTGTGACTGGCTTATTGCACTTAAAATAATGTCTTCTAGGTTCATCCATGTTGTAGCAAATTGCTGGATTTTGACACAGAATCTTAGGTGTTCCATCACTAACCAGAAAACTCTGTGGCCGGTGGCACCTCTGCTTGGGTTTTGCTCATGTCTGCTGGACTCATTCCACCCATGCGGCCCAGCAAGCTGTGGTTGGCTTGCACTATCCGCCCAGATCCTATGCCTGACAAGGGCGAGCCAAGCACGGAGCAGCTAGTGGTGTGTGAGCAAGTGAGTGTGGGGTCCAGCCACTGCGCACAGCAAGGTGTGCCAGCTGTGGCAGGATAGGCAGCTCCAGGTGCTGGCACAGGCACTGGCTCCACGTGAGGGTGCAGCTGTACCAGGCATACTGCAAGCAGCTTCCACTGTAGGCACTGGGGAACATGGTGTAGCCCGAATGCTCAGAGATGCCAGGAAGCACAGAGCTCCAAAAGGGTGTTACAGGGTGTCACAGCCCAGGCTCAGGGAGCCCCACAGTCTGGGCCCCCAGAGGGGCCACAACTCTTTTCTCCTCATCACCTTCAGGGCAGTGAGCAGTGGAGTGGGGGTGTGTTTTGGGGGTGTGTGTTTCAGCCCATCCGTGTTACAGCTATTTCAGTACTGCTGCCCTGCTCCGGCCGGCCCACAGCTCCTGGGCTGTCCAGGCCCTGCCACTGCTTCCCAATGCATTTGGCAGCTGCTGGGCACGGGCATAAGATGGGAGGGCTATAGTGTTACTGCAGCTCAGCTAGGGGAACCCCAAGGTCTGGGCCCCCAGAAGGGTTGCCACTCTTCACTCCCACAGTCTGGGAGCATGACACATCCTGCAGCTCAGCAATCCAGTCCGGAACATGTCACAGCTCCTTTCGCTCCTGCCAGTGGGTTCCAAATTGTTCTCCTGCATCCAGGAAGAATGAGGTTATGTGGACAACTGGAGGATGAACAAGGTAAAGAGGAGCTTTACTGAGCAACAGAACAGCTCCTGAAGTGGGTAACTCCTATTTACAGGCAGGTCATCCTGAAGAGCGCAGTGGAGACCCAAAGTGGGTAGCTCCTATCTGCAGGCAGGTCTTCTTGAAGAGTGTCTGAGTCTGGCTCAGTCTGGGGGGTTTTAATGGGCTCATAAGGGAGAAAGCATGTGCTGATTGGTCCATGGTTGGCCATGGGTGGGCCTGGAAAAAGCACCATCCAACCAGCCAAAAGACTTATTAAGGAAGTTTTCACTGTGGGTTGTGGACTCCATCCGGAACTGGCAGCGCAGTCCCCAACCTTCAGGCTGTCCCTGGCTTGAAGGTGGGGTTTCACCAGAGACCCACCTCTTCCCACCTAGGAACCTGTCTGCCTCCTGCTGACATCAACATGCTGTCTACAGCACCCAGGAAGTCCATGCAAGGGGCACTTGCAGGCCCATGGCTAGCTGCCTTCAGCTCCCCAGCTTCCCTCCCATGCTCGACGGTGTCCAAAGTCCAAAGGGGGCTGAGGTGGCAGGGGCCTGGCATGTCAGCACTACCCTGGGCATGAGCATACCTGGCCAGGTCACAATAGCACCTGGGCTCTGCCACAACTTTGCTCCACATCAGAGTGGGTGCTGGGAGCAGGGAGAGGCCAAGGAGTGGGAGGAGGCACTTTAAGCCTGCGGGGGCAGGGGGCTTCTCAGGCCCCAAGAGCACAGGGATGCCCAGGTCTGGAGCTGCAGCTGCGCCTGGGAACATGGGGCTCTAGTCCTACCAACTCACTAGCGGGTGGGGATCTCATCTGTTCCTGGCTCCACGGAGCACATAGCTCTGGCCGCACCTCTCCTGCTGCAGCTGGCGTCTTCCTCACAGCGGCTGCCCTAGGTAGGCTGCTGCTATCAATTTCCTTCTTCTATAAAACTGAAAATAATTCCACTGTATATATAGACCACAATTTCTTTATTCATTTATCCATTAGTGGACATTTAGGTTGTTTCCGTATCTTAGCTATTGTGGATATTGCTGAAAAGAACATGGGGATATAGGTATCTCTATGAGGGTCTAATTTTATTTATTTTGAGTAAATACCTGAAGAAAGATTACTGGGTCCTATGAGAGTTCTGTTTTTAGTTTATCTGGTGTATTCTGCCATTCTTGCATTTCTATAAAGAAGTACCTGAGACTGGGTAATTTATAAAGAAAACAGTTTTAATTGGATTACCGTTCTGTAGGCTGTACAGGCAGCATGGCACCGGGCATCTTCTTGACTTCTGATGAGGCCTCAGAAAGCTTACAGTCATGGTGGAAGGCAAAGGGAAAGCTGGCACATAACAAAGCGAAAGCCTGAACAACAGAGAGAGAGTGGTGGAGGGAGTGTTATCCACTTTTAAACAACCAAATCTCATGAGAACTTACTATTTTGAAGAAAGCACCAAACAATGAGGTATTCACCCCCATGACACAAACACCTACCATCAGACCCCACCTCTGGAATTGGGGATTACAATTAAACATGAGATTTGGGTGGAGACAAATATCCAAACTCTATTATCCAAGAACCTTCATATTCTTTCCACCATCACCGCACCAATCTACATTTCAAAAAACAGTGCACAAAGGTTCCTTTTGCTCCACACCCTTGTCAACATTTGTTGTCTCTTATCTCCTGAATTGAGTAGCTGAGACTACAGGTGCATGCCCCCATACCCAGCTAAGTTATTATTATTATTATTATTATTATTATTATTATTATTAATTTTTGTAGAAACAAGGTCTTGCTATGTTGGCCAGGCTAGTCTTGAACTCCTGACCTCAAGCTGTCCTTCCACCACAGCCTCCAAAAGTGTTAGAATTACAGGTGTGAGCCACTGATCCAGCTCTTGTCTTTTTGATAAAAGCCATTCTAATAGCTGTGAGGTGATAGCTCACTGTGGTTTTGATTTGCATTCCCTGATGATTAATGATGTTGAGAACATTTTCATATACTGTTGGCCATATTTATGTTTTATTTGGAGAAATAATTATTCTGGTCCTTTGGTCATTTTAAATTCAAGTTGTTCATTTTATTTTGCTATTGAGTTGTGTGAGTTCCTTATATGTTTTGGATATCACCTCTTATCTGATACATGTTTTATATATTTAGATATTGATCACTATGTGGATCTCCAGTTTTGCTTTTCTTAGTATATGGTTTTGTTTTGTTTTATTTGAATTTGATTTTTTAAAATATATTTTCTTGCCCTATATTATGTAGATCTGTGGGAAATAAGGAGATAAAAGCTGAGATCTTCATTACCCCTGATATGTATATAGTTGTCCCTTGGTATCTGCAGGGGATTTGTTCCAGGACTCCCTGTGGATACCAAAATCCACAGATACTCCTGTCCTTTTTATAAAATGGTCTAATATTTACATATAACCTACACATCCTAGATAATTTATAATATCCAATAAATGTAAATGCTCTGTAAGTAGCTGTTATACTGTATTGTTTTTAAAATTTCTATTATTTTAATTGTATTGTTATTTTTTATTTTCTGTTTTGGCTATTTTTGATCTATGGTTGACTGAATTCACAGACATGAAACCTGTACATATGGAAAGTCACCAACTCTCTCTCTCTCTCGCTCTCTCTCTCACTATAGATAGATAGACAGATAGATAGATAGATAGATAGATAGATAGATAGATAGATATGCACACACACATGCACATACATCATGTTAGTACATTTCCCTAACCCGGTTGAACATCCATACATGTGATCACACACACATACACACACAAACACATTGCTTAAGGTGACATCTTTCAGAGAACTGTGAAGCATAGAAATGTTTATATTTATCCTAAGAGGACCAGGTTTTCCTACAGTTTGATAAATCCTCCATTGCGTATTCCTTTTTCTAAGGCTGGAATCCTTCAAATTAGAATTTCCTCTGAGGGCAAAAATCCCTGAAAAAATTACCAATTGTTTACAGTGATGGAAAAGGTAAACAGACTTCCCACTAATCAAGGTTTTTTTAATAATGGAAGACTCAGAATTTAAGCAGTTTATCTTCTGCTTCATTATTGATATATTTAAAAAATAATCCTTTAATATATGTAATCTTCAAACTTACAGAACTTCTTACTCATTTTCCAGTAGGTTTATTTATTTCTTCTGCATTAATACACTGGAAAGACCTTAAAAAATTTTTTATTGTTTTTGATATCAGGCATTCTTGACTGAATATTTTGATTATTATTTTTAGCCATAATATATCTTTTTAACAGGTTACTTAATATTAGTCACTTTACTTAATTTACATGTTAGAGACACATTTTAGAATTTTATGTTTTAATTTGGAAAATATATTAGATTTCTCAACATCTCATCTATACCAACGGAAATTTTAATTTCTTTTTTTTTTTTTTTTTTTTTGAGATGGAGTCTCGCTCTGTCGCCCAGGCTGGAGTGCAGTGGCGCGATCTAGGTTCACTGCAAGCTCTGCCTCCCAGGTTCACACCATTCTCCTGCCTCAGTCTCCTGAGTAGCTGGGACTACAGGTGCCCGCCACCATGCCCAGCTAATTTTTTGTATATTTAGTAGAGACGTGATTTCACCTTGTTAGCCAGGATGGTCTCAATCTCTTGACCTCGTGATCCGCCCCCCTCAGTCTGCCAAAGTGCTGGGATTACAGATGTGAGCCACCATGTCCGGCCATATTTCTTATTTTTTGAACTCATATATTGCTTTCCATTTACCTAGAGGTTTTGATTTGAACTAACCATATTTTTTCATTAGTTATTTTCTCAAGACTATTTGATAATATTGTCCTTAATATTTTTATGTCCATATCTATGTAGAAAGTTTGTATATTTTGAAAATTGTAAGTCTATATGTGTTGTTATTTTTTGTTCAGTGTTGTCTTTTTGCAAATAGATTCATTAAATTTCTATATTTGTGTATAGCTGTATAACTTTATATAGCAGGTACTATTTTGATACTTAAAATAATTTACCTGAAAATTTATCTGGCAACTCATCTTTATGTGATTTTTACATTTAAGAAACTATTATAGTTTCAGTGCAGAGTTTCTATATTTAGTTGTCAATTTTGCTAATTGATTTTTTTTTAAAATAATATAATGTTTACATTCTCAGTTTGGGTGTAGAGCTATATACAGTGTTATTTAAAATGTTTTATTATAATCTTTTCAATATTTTAAATGTCTAATAATATATACAGCAAAAATACTTTTCATATTAATTTTTTAATAAACATTGATTTATAAAAAGTGTTCTGGGATTTTGTTTGGAAATGCATTAACTCTGTATATGAATTTGAGGAGAATTTACATCTTATTAATATTGTGTCTTCCAATCCTTGGGCACATTACATTTATAAATTTATTTATGTCTTTGATTTCTTTCATCATTTTTGCTTTGTTTTGTTTTCAGCAACAGAACTTAAAGGAAAATTTATTTTGTCTATTTTTGTAGTACATTGGAGATTACCTGATTCATAGTAGTTGCTCAATAGATATTTGTCAAATAAGGAAATGAGCTGAGAAAAGTCTAGACAAAGCAAACGTATGCAGGGCTTATTCGGGGGTTGGCAAAAATTAATGAGGAGAAATCAGAGTATATTTTAGTGCTCAGAGTTTGAAATTATGATATGAAAATAGCACCATGGCATATGGGGTGGTATCAGACTCTTTATTTTATTTACACTTGAAAGCATCAGCGTTTGGAGCAAGGTGAGATATTTATATTTGCTTGACCCATGTGTGCTACATTTGGAAACATAAATGCATGAATGGCCATTCATGCTGAAATATTTTAAAAAGTAAGGGATAGTAAAGAGATAGCTCAAATTTGGCTGAACGTGCAATATTTTGTTACAGCCTACAAAGTCAAGAAAATAAATTTAGAATAATGTGTAATATCGTATAAGAAATATGTACTTATTTCTTATGTACTCATCAAAAGAGATGAGTCTTATCCATTTGGATGAGACTATGTATTCATCCAAATATTTGAATTTGATTAAGGCAATTATGTTTGTCAAAATTACTCAGAACTCATTTTCGAAATCATAGATTACAGTGTTGGAAAGAGACTTAAATGATCGCACGTTTCTAGACACTTCAATATTATCAAAATTTCTGACAAAACGAGAATCCAATTTATGTTTACAATAATTAATAATGACATTGCACATACTTTTGACTCTGTTCTGATTCCTTGACATATACATTATTAATTATTTATTTCTCACAAATTTCCCACGACCCAAGAATAATTATTATTTTCACTTTATAGATGAGAAAACAGAGGCAAGAAAGATTATCTGACATACTCAAAGTCACGCAGTAAATTATTTACTTTTTCTTAAATATGTGACAATTAAATTTATCTCAATGTTTTTTGTAAGCCTAGGTAATTTAAATATTTAAATATTCTTTCCTGATATGCTTGCATTTTCCTTGTTAGACATCTCACTCCCACTTCTTATATAACATTTTTCAACTTTTCAACACTTGTATAGCTATGGTATTTATATGCCATAATAAAAAGTAACTATCATTAAAATTACATTTTTATAACCTCAAATTTGTTTTTTTCATAGTTTTATGCCATGAAATCATGTACTTGTGTATCTATCTATCTATCTATCTATCTATCTATCTATCTATCTGTCTTCTATCTGTCAAGGTTCCTCAGAGAAAAAAATAAACAACAGGATGTGTGTGTAGGTATATAAAAATATTAATCACCTCACACAATAATAGAGCAGATCAAATGTGTAGTTTGGGCCAGAAATCTCAAAATTCAGGAGAACTAATGATGGAGATAAAGTTCAAAAGCAGTCTGCTGAAAAATTTCCTCTTACTCAAGGGAGAGTCAGTTTGCTTGTTCTATTTGGGCTTTCAAATGATTGCATGAGACCCTTTTACATTCTGACAGCATTGTTTTACTCTACCAATTAAAATGTTAATCTCACCCAAAAACTGTCATGGAAATACCCAGAAAAATGCCTGACCAAGTTATCTGGGCACTCTGTGGCCAAGTCCAGTTGACAACTAAATTACCCATCTTTACCTTCTATCTATCTATCTATCTATCTATCTATCTATCTATCTATCTATCATCTATCTATCATCTATATATCTATTGTCTACCTATATGTTTCTATCTTCTTTAATTTTTTGTCAAACTAGTTTCTGAGGAAATCTTTTAATGTTGTGATGACATGCAGGCTGTTTTAAGGCAAAATTTTCTATTGTAACTTAGCAATTTCTGAGCTCACAAAATTCTGTTTTCTTTCACTGTATGCCTATCCAAGTGATTATCTCCTAGATCATTGCTTTCTCAAAATCTCAACTGCCCATGTGGAAAAGTAATGGCAACAAAACTTGATCTAAATTTTGCAGATATTTCTCTGAGACTTAACATTCTCTCGATATCCATCTCCTCATGCCTAGAACTGCTTTTCTTCCCCTTATTATACAGAATGACTGATTTTCTCTAGGTGATGTATCTTATTCATATCATAGATATGATCTTTTAGTAAACAGCTTAGATTCCAAGTTGACTGTGCTGTGTGTGAAGACTGTTGTGTGTACAAACTTATATAATAGAGTACTCTTTTTCTATTCTCTACATCTTAGTGTTTCCACAAAGAAACCACTCATGTGCTTATTTTTCTTTGTTACAAAAGCTTTACTAATACATTCAAAATGTCTGTCAGGTTAATATTAACATTCCCAAGTTAGTGTTTATTATTTTAAAATAATTTTACTATAAATTGACAATTATAATTGTATGTCTTTGTGGAATATGGGATAATGCCATAATGTATTAATACAGTGTGAAATAATTAAATTAACCTAATTATTGTGTGTGTGTGTGTGTGTGTGTGTGTGTGTGTGTGTGTGTGGTGAGAAAATTTGAAATGTACTCTCAGCTATTTTGAGATACACAATATGCTATTATTAATGGTATTCACCATGCTGCACAATAGATCTCAAAAAAATAAAACTACGCCTCCTAGATGAGATTTGTAACCTTTGACAAGCATCTTCCCATTCCTCCACCCTATCCGCTGTAACCACTATTCTACTCTCTGCTTCTATGAGTTCAATTGTTTTAGATTCCACATATGTGAGAAAATCACATACTGTTTTTCTGTGTCTGGTTTATTTCACTTAGCATGATGTTCTCCAATTACATCTATATTGTCACAAATGACAATTTCCTTCTTCTTTATGGGTGAATAGTATTTCGTTGTGTATAAATACCACATTTTCTTTATTCATTTATTTTTTGATGGACACTTAGGTTGATTTCACGACTTGGCTATTATAAATATTGCTGCAATGAACATGACAGTGCAGACTTCTCTTCAACAAACTGCTTTCAGATCTATTACATAAATACCCAAAGGTGGAATTTCTGGATCACATGGCAATTCTATTTTGTTTTTGGAGGAACCTCCAAAGAGTTTTCTGTAATGGCTGTTCTAATTTACATCCTCACCAACAGTGTACAAGTGTTCCCTTTTCCTCATATCCTCATCAACACTTATCTGTTGTCTTTTGGATAAAACCATTCTGGCAATTGTGAGATATCTCACTGTAGTTTTAATTTGCATTCCCCTAATTATTAGCAGTATCCAGTATTTTTTAATATATCTGTTGGCTATTTGTATGTCTTCTTCTGAGAAATATCTATTCAGGCCTCTGGCCTATTTTTTGATTATGTTCTTTGTTTTCTTGCTATTGAATTTTTTGAGATGCTTATATTTTGGATATTAACCTCTTATCAAATGTGTGGTTTTCAAACATCTTCTTTCAATACATAGGTTTTCTCTTCATGCTGTTTTTATTTTCTGTGCGGAAACTTTTTAGTTTGATATAATTTCATTTGACTACTTTTTGTTTTATTGCCTTTATTTTTGGTGTCAAATCAAAACAATAATTGCCTCAGACAAATGTCATGTACTTTATCTCTGCACACATTTTTTTCCTTGTAGTTTTACAGTTTCTTGTCTTAAGTATTTAATCCATATTCTTTTATATATTGTGTTAGATAAGGGACCAATTTTATTCTTCTGCATATAGATATCCAGTTTCTACAAACTGTTTTCTGAATAGACTATCCTTTTCTATTGTATATTTGTGGCACTTTTGTTGTATTCCAATTGTTTGTATGTATGGGTGTAGATTCATTTCTGAGCTCTCTATTGTGTGTCATTAGTTATGTAGCTATCTTTGTTACCAATATGATGTTGTTTTAATTAACACAGTTTTGTACTGTAGTTTGAAACAAGGTAGTATAATGACTCCAGATTTGTTCTTTTTTGCATATGATTGGCTTGTCAATTCAAGTTTTTTGTGTGTTTCTATGTGAATTTTAGGACTGCTTTTCCAATTTCTAAGAAATATGACATTGGAATTTTGATAGGGATTATATAGCACCTGTAGATTTCTTTGGGTAGTATGTATATTTTAACAATGGCAGTTTTTCAAATCCATGAACATGGGATATATTTCCATTTATTCATGTCTCCTTCAAATTTTTTCATCAATGTTTTATAGTTTTGGTGCGTAGATCCTTCACTTCCTTGCTTAAATTTATTCCTAAGTATTTTATTTTTTGTAGCTATTGTAGGTGGGATTTTTCCCTTGATTTCTTTTGCAAATAACTTATTTATTGGTATATAGACATGCTGCTGATTTTTGTAGGTTGATTTTGTATCCTGTAACTTTACTGCAGTTGTTTATTAGTTCTAAACGTTTTTTGGTGGATTATTTAGGGTTTTAAAATATAAGATTAAATTATCAGCAAACAGTTACAGTTTCACTTCTTTCTTTTCTTTTCGAATGCCTTTTATTTATCTATCACGCCTAATTTCTCTGGCAAGCACATGGATAACTACATTGATTCGAAATGCTCAGAGTGGGCGTTGGTATCTTGTTCCAAATAGACGACTGACTTTCAAGTTTTTATCATTGAGTAAAATGTTAGCTGCAGGCTTCTCATATATGGTCTTTACTTATTGAATTACATTCCTTCTATACCTAATTTGATGAGAGTTTTTATTATGAATGTGTTGAATTTTGCCCAGTGCTTTTTCTGCATCTAATGAGATGACCATAATTTTTGTCTTTCATTCTGCTGATGTGATACATCACATTTATCAATTTATGTATATTGAATAATCCTTCAATGAACCAATCTGAAACTGAGGATTTATTTTTTGAAACATATTATTTAATTTCAAATACATGTCTTTATTAATTATAGGGTTATTTAAATTTTCTCTCTTATTGGGTGGGTTGCATTTGTGTTTTTCAAGAAATTGTTCTGTTTCACCTAATTGTCAAAATTGTTTGGGTGGAATTGTTTGCAGTGTTTCTTTTTTATTATGCTAATGTTCGCAGCATCTGTAGTAATATCCTCTGTTTTATTCGTGATATTGATCATTTGAGCTCTCTCTCTATCTCCCTCTTTCTATCTACATCTGTCTCTTGGTAATCTACAATCATACCAATTGTATTCATCTTTTAAAGAGTCAATTTTTGTGTCATTAACTTTCTCTATTTTTTAATGTTTTTCTGTTTATTCACTCTTTTTTTCCGTTTGCTTTTAATTATTTTCTTTTTCTAGTATCTAGAGGTAGGTGCTTGGGTTATTGGTTTCAATGTTTTCTCTTGTGTGCATTTAGTACTATAAATTTCCCTTTCTACTGATCAAATTTTAACCATTTCCTTAATTTTAAAAATATTAAGATAATGGAAAGGACGTGGTGCTGCATGCCTGTAGTCCCAGCTATTGGAGAAGTTGAGGTAGGAGGATCACATCAGCCTAGGGTTAAGACTGTAATGAGCCATGGTCAGTCACGCCACTGCACTCCAGCCTGGGGCAACAGAATGAGAACCCTACCTCCAAAAAAAAAAAAAAAAAAAAAAAAAGATTTTGGATGGTTGTCTTACTGTTTTAAAGGGTAAATGCATATATAGGTGGGTGGGCATGGAGCCTCACGCCTGTAATTCCAGCAATTTGGGAGGCCAAGGCGGGCGGATCACCTGAGGTCAGTAGTTCGAGACCAGCCAGGCCAACATGGTGAAACCCTCTCTCTACTAATAAGTATAAAAATTATCCAGTCATGGTGGCAGGCGCCCGTAATTCCAGCTGCTTGGGAGGCTGAGGCAGGAGAATCGCTTGAACACAGGAGGTGGAGGTTGCAGTGAGCCAAGATCACGCCATTGCACTCCAGCCTGGGCTACAAAAAAGAAACTCCGTCAAAATAACAACAAAAAAGAATGTAGTTATATATTGCGAATTTGCCTCCATATGTGTTTTACCACTTTTTACTTTTACTGGCATTGTATGAGAGAGTGCTTGTTTCCCTCACTGTCTCACTAAAATTGTTTACTGTCAAGTGTTTGCATATTTCTTTTTTTTCTTTTTTTTTCTTTTTTGAGACGGAGTCTCGCTCTGTCACCCAGGCAGGAGTACAGTGGCATGATCTGGGCTCGCGGCAAGCTCTGCCTCCAGGGTTCACTCCATTCTCCTGCCTCAGCCTCCCGAGTAGCTGGGACTACAGGCGCCAGCCACCACACCCGGCTAATTTTTTGTGTTTTTGGTAGAGACGGGGTTTCACCATGTTAGCCAGGTTGGTCTCGATCTCCTGACCTCGTGATCCGTCCACCTCGGCCTCCCAAAGTGCTGGGATTACAGGCATGAGCCACCGCGCCCAGCCAAGTATTTGCATATTTCTTTTTTTTTTTCTTTTGAGTCGGAGTTTTCCTCTTGTCACCCAGGCTGGAGTGCAATGGCGCCATCTCGGCTCATGGCAACCTCTGCCTCCCGGGCTCAAGTGATTATCCTGCCTCACCCTCCTGAGTAGCTGGGATCATAGGCACGTGGCACCACGCCCAGTAACTTTGTATTTCTAGTGGAGACCAGGGTTTCACCATGTTGGCCAGCCTGGTCTCCATCTCCTGACCTCGTGATCCACCCACCTAGGCCTCCCAAAGTGCTGGGATTTACAGGCGTGAGCCACTGCGCCTGGCCCAAGTGTTTGCATATTTATAAAGAAAAGGTTGAGAAGTGGCACCTCAATATAACTTAATTTGCTTTTCTCTTACTGTAAGTGATTGGGGTTTACTTTTCATGTGTGTAGGAGTGATTTGTATGCTTTGATGTAAACTCTTTGTTTTGCCCTATATTGTTTCGTTTGTGAGAACTCTCATTTAATATTTTACTTTGACATTGTTTGTGATTTTGTTTCATTATGAAATCCTTTTTTAATAAGTTGTAAGAAAATTTATCAAAATTTTAAAAATTTCATCTCAATTTTAAGTTATAGTTGGAAGCTTTTTTCTGTGTTCAGATATGTCAGCCAATTCATGTTTTAATTAATATATTTATGTTTTTAATATACAGATCTCTTTCCAGTAACAAAAATATTGTGTTGTTTAACATGAGCCACGAGTCAGGTTTTATTACTTCCAAATGGCTATTAAAAGATCCTGTGAATTGGATTTTGCAATGTACTTATTTCCCTTTCTGGACTTTATATTTTGTTCCCCTGGTCAGTCAGTCTATTTATATACTAGTGCACCACTTCAATTTTGGAAGCCTTATAAATATTTTAATATTTGGAAAGGATGTTTACCTTTTCATTAGCATTTTTATTAAATATCTTTTATTACATGAAATGCTTGTTTTTCTATATAAATTCTACAATCATCTTGTCACTTCCGGGAGGACAATAAAACACAGACAATAAAACTTTGTATTTATATTTGGATTGTACCAAATTTGCATATTCATTTGCAGAAAAATTTTACATGGCTAAGTTATCCTATTGAAGAAGTGAAGATGGTTTCCCATTTACTCAGGTGACCTCTGTGTCTTTTAGGAGTGTTTCATTTTAACATTCCTTTGTTACTATCTTTAACATTTTTATTGAAGTATAAAATTATCTGTGTTTAAATGATTGAGGTATGTAAAGTAAACGAATCTTAATTGTACAGCTTAATGAATTTATATATATATATTTGATGAATTTATACATATATATGTTTGGCGAATTTATACATATACATGTATATATTTGTATAGACCAACGTATCCACCACTACCACCTCCATCAGAAACAGAATATTTGCAGCACTGTACATAGTTTAGTCATGTTCCTTCATGACTAAAGTAAATGAGTCTTAATTGTACAGCTTGGTGAATTTATACATATATATGGTAAATTTATACATATATACATATATACTTGTACAGACCAACCTATCCATCATTACCACCTCCATCAGAAACTGAATATTTGCAGCACTGTACATGGTTTAGTCATGTTCCTTCACAATCAATACCATATTCTGTCCTCAAAATAACCATTTTTCTGTGACTAAAAATTAGCATTTCTATCTGACATTTTTATTGACGAGTAATGACCAAGCATTTTGAAGAATGTTCTTCAAATTGGATTTATCTGAAGTTTTCTTATGATTATACTAAGCTTATGTTTTTTAAAAAGAATATCACAAAAGTTATGTGCTCTTTTCATTACAACACATCGGGGCTATATGATATACATAAAATTCATTATGAGTGATGTTCATCTTAATTATTTGGATGAAGGAATATCTATCAGGTTTTTCCATTCTAAGGTTACTATTTTTATAATTCTCCAGTCTGTTTATTAGAAGTCAGTCATTAGCAGTGCACTTTCAACGGAAAAGGAGTCAAGCTCTACTTTTATCCCTACCTTTCATATAATGTGGGCTGCCTGGGAAAAAAAGCTTACAAAAGTGTGTAAACTTCTGAGTCCGGGGTCACTGTGGGCTTCCTACTCACACACTAGCCAATGGTTGGATTTTAACAACTAATTAAACATTTCCAGGCAAATGTTCATATAAGTTCTTTTGCAGGCTATCTCCCAGATAATTCTATTTTGGATTCTATTTATTCCAGAAGGCACTTTTTCTTCTTATTCTGGGATTCAAATTATACATAAATTGGTACTTCATGTCAATCTTGTACACTTTTTATACATTCCCAAGTTTTATCTCTCTGTACCTCATTCTGGATATTTATTCAGTTTTATCTATCTGTTTTATAATTTTCTCTACAGGTCTGCTTAATCCCTGGTAAATCTGTCACTGAATAATTCCATTTTTATGCTTTGTACTACATTTTAATTGAGGATTTTTTGTTATTTTCTTTCCTGTACTTTTCATTGTTTTCTGTTAGTTATGAGATTAACATTTACTATTTATGTTTTAAAATAGTTATTTTGAAGTTATTATTAGATATCAGATTATTTTTATGGTGTATTGCCCACTATGTTTATGGTTACATTTTGTTTTAGCAGACTCAATAGTTTCTTAATACACTCAGAAAAGAAAATTATTTGAATATATGTGTCAATTCAGGAGAGACACTTTAGTTGCATCTTATTGTTATTCCTAGTTTGTACTTCTTCAGGATCCCACAAAAAAAAAAAAAAAAGCAAGAAATTTCACCCACATGTTTCCACTTCGGTGAACCCTGAAGTCTATTTGGTGTCTGACCCATGAATCTATAAACCACTCTGTTTTCTCATCTTCTATGCTACCATTTTAGGGAGTAGAATATTTCCTAAGGATTAAATCAGTCCCAAATGTGGGGCTTAATGTTTTAGGCATATCTCCTTGGTTTTTTTTTTTTTTTTTTTTTTTTTTTTTTTTGAGATGGAGTCTCCCTCTGTCACCCAGGCTGGAGTGCAATGGCACCATCTCAGCTCACTGCAACCTCCACCTCCCAGGTTCAAGCGATTTTCCTGCCTCAGCCTCTTGAGTAGCTGGGATTGCAGGTGCACACCACCACACCTGGCTAATTTTTTTTCCTTTCTTTTTTTTTTTTTTTTTTTTTTAGTAGAGACAGGTTTCTCCATGTTGGTCAGGCTGGTCTCGAACTCCTGACCTCGTGATCCACCGCCTGGGCCTACCAAAGTGCTGGGATTACAGGCGTGAGCCACCGCACCCCACCTCCTTGTTCTTAATGCAACAAATTCTCCCTTATTTGACGCGAGTTTCATACAAGAAGAGATAATTGCTTTTGTCTATTTTTTCCTCACTTTTTTCAAACAGAAGAGTTAGGGCAAAAATAAATCTACTCAGCCATTTATAGAAGCAACTTTTTTTCAATCTTATTTTACACATGTTATTTTGTAACCAAGCGGAGACTTTAAATACTATTTAAATATATCAAATGTTTACAGTTTGAAAGTGTCTATTCAGATAAAATAGTGATGTTTAACTTAGTAAACTAGAATGATTAAAGTTTTGATGTTCACTGTAGAGAAATGATACAAAAACTGTTCTATATTTCCACTATAAAAGACTAACAGTTATTAATCAAATAGTAATAAAATTGAAGTATAGGCAAATAAGATTCTAATTAACTTGAGGAAAACTATGAGTCAATTAGCACTGCAATGAAATATAACAACCAAATCTATCATATGCCAAAATAACTTCTGTCCTCCAAAAAAAGGTGAGAACATATGTACATATATGAAACTACATTTAATTACCTATATTTTAATAAAATATTTACTATATATATCCATATATACATAGTAGCTATTTCCTCCCTTTTAAATCTCCTCAAAGCATTTGGTTTAGTCGGAGAGCAAAATATTGTATGTATTAATAAAAAGTTAATTTCAAATTGATATTAAAAAATTAATATGTCATTTTTTATGTGTCATGAGCTAACATACTCGAACACTTATTTGACATCTTAACCTAATTCATTGTTTGAAAAGATTTGTCTATTTGAATGTGTTAAAAGTAGAATTTCAAGTATTTAATATTATTAAAAAATTACATACCTTGTGATTTTTAGTTATCATAACAATAATGTTCTTTATTCTTAATCCAAAAGTTAATTCTGTAGCAAAATAAATAAGTAAATGAGACAAGGAAAGGTAAGTAGTAAATTACCAGCCTAGAAAAATGTCTAGTTAAATATATATGCTGGTAATCACATATTTTTAGTCAATGTCTGCTTCTTTTCAAATGGCTGGACACTGTAGATGAACCTTCTTTTACTCATTTATCTCTCCATATTTACCCTGCGGTAGAAAAAATAATTAATAAAGAATGTTGATGTAAAATGCTTGTACTTATTCCTTTGAGTATGTGATTGAGCAGAGTAGAGACTTAAAAGTGTATTTTGAACTAAAACTCTACCTACCTAATTTCTGAAAAGCTTACTGCTACATATCCATTCTAAAGAGTGATTTATATGTGTCTTTCCAGCAATAGTATGTAGCAGTACTCATTTCATTACATGTGTTTTAACAGGGAACACCATGCCCAATTTTTTTTTTTTCTTGAGACAAAGTCTCGCTCTGTCTGCCAGGCTCCGTGCATTGGTGTGATCTCGGCTCACTGCAACCTTTGCCTCCCAGGTTCAAGTGATTCTCCTGCCTCAGCCTCCCGAGTAGCTGGGATTACAGGCACCCGCCACCACGCCCGGCTAATTTTGGTATTTTTATAGATACGGAGTTTCGCCGTGTTGGCGAGGCTGATCTCAAACGCCTAACCTCAGGTGGTCCGCCCGCCTCAGCCCACGCCCACTTTTAATTTTTCAGTGTGATGAAGTAGAAATTTGCTTCCCACGAAGTAGAAATTTGTTCCCATGAAGTAGAAATTTGCTCCCTTTTTTGAGAATATTTTTCATTAAATAAATCATCTAACATGATATATAAATGATATAACTATGTAACTATGTTGTTCAGCTAATTCAAAACATTATGTTACATTAAACATTTTATGGATAAAATCAAGCTAACTTTCAATAAGAAAGCTTAATGAATTAAATAATAGAGAAAAGTTTACACCTGCTAAGTCAAATCCAAATATAAAAAAAATCTTTCATCTAGACTACACATCAAATCCTGAATTTAACTGATGTTGATGTAACCAGCTTAATGACGTTCTAAAATGCACTTATAGCCAAAGTACTGATTGAATTTGCTTTAGTGACTTGGTGATAAATTTATAGAGTAAGATTTAGAAATAATTGTGGTACCTTAAATGTGTCTCAAGCAGTAAGACTTTTCTCTCCCATTTTTTTCTATTTTGTATTTTTTCTAATACCTCTAATTTGATAAAATTGGAGGTTAATATCAAACAGCAAATTTAAATTAAAACATCTCTGTAGTTGGATTCTTCAAGCCAATTGGGAAAAAATAAGCTTTTAATTAGTGGGTTATAATAGCAAACCTACATTTATAATTACAAAAATATTGTTTGTACAAAAATCTTCAATTATAAAAGGAATGTGTACTTAATTAGCATTTATTAATATAATATATGATCAATAATCTCTACATGTAATTAGTAAAATACCTTGAGTCAGAATGAACATTATTTACTATTTATTATGCTATCTAGATATCAAATATCTAGATTTCATATAATTGTCTCTACTCCTATTAGTGAAATTTAATAGCATTGTGAAAAGTAAATATTTTGACATTCCATCTCTACATTGATCTACTTCCTTAAGAGTAAAATTATACGTATGATCAATAACACCAAGCCTGTCATCAATTAGTTTCATTTTTGTCCCTTTCTGTTCTCATGAAACTTTCCATGTAAATCATCACACCCAAAAAACCAGTGTATTGATATGTTGCTATGGAAAAATTACACTGCAACTTAAATTTCATGGGATTAGATGGTCATTCTTGATATATATCTCCTCTAACACTCAAAACCACTGAAGAAATATCACGATGTTATTAAAAGCTACAAATGTACAGGGCTAGAAAATATACAGCTCCAAGATGCCAAGAAAATGAAATTAAGAGAGAGCAGGTTGTGGAAATATTTGTATAAGCTTTCATGGTTCAGAGTTGAAAAGTAGCTGTAATGATACCATTCCAAAAACACTTTAGGGACATGTTAGGAAGCATTACACCGATTACTTTAATGTTCGGTTATGGTCAAAATCTTGGCAACTCTTTTAAAAGTGTTTAACTAGGGAAATATTTGGAAAAGCATCACTTGATTTAAGCTTGTGTATACTGCCTTAACAAATGAACAGAATGTATGGTGTATTTGATATAAGTAGGGCTTCTATTGCCACTGAATACTGTCAAACCGCTTTTCCAAAATTTATAAAACATTTTTAAAGCCAATTTCTATAAGAGTAAATGAAGAAAATTGACCATTTTTTTCTACTCATGGATAAATATTTTACACAGTTAAGACACGGGTAAAATGTCTTCTTCCCAATTAAAGGCTATCTGATGTAACTTCAATTGAAAATAGTAAAGCAGAAGTCTTTAATTTTTTAGTAAATATTGAACCCCACAAACCTCAAGTTAGCAGTCAAGAAATAATGTTCTATTAGACATTAGCCAATTTTGAAGAAAGTGTGATTAATTATTCAAAGATTCTTATAAAGAGGGTCATTCAATTTATTAGCCCATGAAAATTTTTCCATGCCCTTAACATTTTAGGAGCTTTTATCTATGCTATATAATATTACTGAATACCATTGATGTATAAGTTGAAGCTCAGATATTACAAACTACTCTTTCCATACTAATAGTTAGTTGTAAGTGATAAAGTGAGTCATTTATGCTTCTGTAAAGAAAGGTGAAAAAAAGTAATCTGGGAAATATGGAGTTAACTAGAATGTGAGTAGAAAAAATATTCTACTAATTATAATATTCTAAAATATTCTAATTCGAATAATATTCTAGAATATTTGTTCCTGCAGAAGAAATAGTTGTTGCATACAAAGTAATCATTTTAGACAAAGTATTTCTTAAAAATGTTTCTGAATTTTAATTGACTATTTGAGCACTACTTATTATTAAAATACACTCAATAAATGAATATTTTAAAGTGGAATAAACTTTTTTTTGCTTCCTTATTTACATATCTTTCCTTCAATTGCCTAACAGTCTTTTCTGTCTCTTTTAAAACATCTATGTTTATTTTTTTACTTCTATTTTATTTATGTAGCCAACACATTAGGCTGGCATTCGTCATAAGTAACTTGCCAAAAAAAATTATCAACTTTCACTTATCTATACACTTTTATGGCAGAAAAATATGTCACCATTCTACATATATCATTTTCTAGGTTCCCTTAATGTATTTAGAGAAAGGCATTCCAATTTTGACCTAAAAATATGTAATTAATATTGCCTTGTCATGAATGGATGAAAGTGTGAGAGAGGCTTTCTACCGGATATTGATAAAGATATCCTAGACAGATCAAGACATTACACTTTATATCTAATACCCAAGTCCCATATTTCAGCAGCAAAAATCATAAATTTGATTGACATATTCAGTTCACTTTCCGTCAACCTAACAATAAAAAAGAATACTCTTTTATAGCAAATTTTTTGAAAGAAAAATTAAATCTATAGGCAATGCTTGCTTTTATTGTTTTTGTGAAAATAAAAAAAATTGTCAGCGAAGGTTTCTTTAATAAACTAGGCTTTGTTATACATAAACCAACATTGATTTATGTCATATAAGCCAGCATTTGTTTAGTATGTGCCAGACATTATGTTACTTTAAATATATTATTTATTTTAAACATTGTAAGCATGAAATTATCATGTCTCCTTCATACGGATAAGAAAACAATGGGCCGGGCGTGGTGGCTCACGCCTGTAATCCCAGCACTTTGGGAGGCCGAGACGGGCGGATCACGAGGTCAGGAGATCGAGACCATCCTGGTTAACACAGTGAAACCCCGTCTCTACTAAAAATATAAAAAAATTAGCCGGGCGTGGTGGTGGGCGCCTGTAGTCCCAGCTACTCTGGAGGCTGAGGCAGGAGAATGGCACGTGAACCCGGGAGGCAGAGCTTGCAGTGAGCCGAGATGGCGCCACTGCACTCCAGCCTGGGCGACAAAGCAAGACTCCGTCTCAAAAAGAAAAAAAAAAAAGAAAACAATGACTTAACACAAGCCTGCATAGCTAGTGTATCAGAGCCAGAGATTAAAATTAATCATGCTATTAATATTTCCAAAGGAGAACTTTTTTACATGTATTACAAAAGCATAGAAAGCACATAATCTTTTGTTGGCCAGGATAAATTGTCATAATTTAGAAATCATCACTTTTCACTTTGTTGATTGTCTTTCCAGATTGCTGTCCATGAGGAATTAGTTTACATTTTCTCAGCCCTTTAATGATTATAAGAACTTGATTTGGCAGTGCTATGTAATTGTGACCGTCTCCCTCCAGTTCATTTTTTAAATTTACCTTTTTTTGTTCTAAGTGCTAATAATATTAATTTAAAATAGAAGAAAGTATTGTTTCATGCTCTGGAAAAAACTTGTGAGTCATATGATTTTACTTGTGTTGAAATTGTAATTTAGATAATCAAAGTAAAGATGCATCTAGACATTCCCTTCTACTGTGAAAGCTGAGGCTTAGAGTTACTTGGCACAGTGTTTGGAATATATGATGCAATCTGTAGTCCCCTAGGGTATTTGTTCATTTACCTCATCTAAAAATTTTAAAATGTATTATTTCAGGGACGTAGATATTGTGTCTGTGGGTGAATTAGGAAGGCTTTCATGTATATTGGTAAAGCAAACATGATAAGTAGGTACCTTCATTTAGATAAATACATGTTCCTCTATTCTCCAGAGGGGGGAAAAACCCTCAAAACTAAATATTGCTAATGGAAAAAGGATAATTTAGAAACTAGATTAACTTGGATAGTTTCCTTCTTTGATTATATTCCAGACTTAATTACTTTTCTCTCACTTTTCATGTTTAAAATTAAGCAACGAGACTCTAATCCCTAGCTTCGGACAGAAAGGTTTATTCATTGAGGAATCTGTTAAAGTATTTTATTCATATTCGGCAAGGCATGGAATATTTTCCTACACATTTTACATTTGACAGACTGTAGATACGTAAATAGCAACAGATTTTTGTAAACATCAACAATGTTAGTCCAAGGTAAAATTTTTAAGTCTTACACTACCAAATTTTGATTCTTGCATTTTCTATTTCTTTTTCAATTTAATCTGTCTACCTCATACTTATATGGTATTTTATTATAACATTATTATAGTTAGCATAGAAAGAAATGTTGATGTGTTCAGAAGAAATTATTTGAGTTTTAAGCTTTCAAAAATATAATCTTATAATCAAAGGCTATGCAGCCCATAAATGCAATTTCTTGAAAGAAGAACTTTCAAGGATATAAGGAGCCTTTTAGTTGTCCAAGATCTTATATTATACCTATGTTACCCCTATATGCACTTCCACTGCGGTAAATTGTTATCTCCTTTCAGGAGGCAAAGGGAGAAGGTAGTATGAATGGAAAGAGGGGCTCAGTTATCTTTTCTGAACTATTCCTTCTCCTTTCACTCAGGCAATGACTCAAGCGATAGAGATTTATTTTCTAGGGACTAAAAAGAAGATAGAAGAAGACCTTAAAATTGTCAGCACTGAACATTGACTATTTCAAACCTGGATTTTCCCTTGACTTTCATTCCATTTCCTTGCTATTAACTTCTAAATCCTCATCTACTTCTATCCCAGGTCAAATTCAGTGATCTAGCATTCGTTTTTATTCTGACTTAGACCGTAATATTCAACGTTATACAATAGTTTGACATACTATTCAAAAACTTTTTGTAACAGAGGTAGTCTGAAGAGTAAACTAGCATGAGGAGTGGGGCACTAAAAATTTGGGATGGGAAGACAGAATGTTGTATGAGGACTTTCAATATATGTTTGAGTGTTTGTGTGGGTGTAAGAATGACAGAGAGAGAGGGAGTATTGTAAGACTGATAATTATTACCAAGAGAAAAAGTAACTTAAGATTTATTAAGCACTGATTATGTGCAAAGGACTATGACAAGTACTTTATACATTGCATATTTAGTCCTGGTAGCAATTATATTAAATAATTATGAGTATTATCTCCATTTTACATGATGTCTTAGTCCACTTTGTAACACAATATTTGAGAATGGGTGATGTATAAATAACAGAAATGTATTTATCGCAGCAGCTCTGAAGGCTAGGGAGTCCAAGATCATGGTGTTTGTATTTGGTGATGGTCTTCTCCTGACATCCACACATGGAAGAACAGAAAAGGGCAAACCTAGCCTGGCAAATTCCTTTTATAATGTTATTAATCCATTAGGTCCTACCTCTCAATGCTATTGCATTAATAATTAAGTTTTCAACATATAATTTTGGGGGTGAGGGAAACCTGTTCAAAGCATAGCATATGGAAATCAAGACGTAGTTAGTAAATAATTTATCTCAATGTTATATAGTTAGTGAAAGAAAAGAGATACTAAAACCCAAGTCTCACTCTTGAGATGTGACCAGAGTCACCAGGCTGAATTAGAAGACCTTCTTGTAATATCAATACCAGTTCGTGGTTTCCTCTTTGAGAGGCTTATTTAGTAATAGTTTAAATTTTTCCTTCTCACTCCATGGACTCTGACTTTATTAGTAAAGGTTAACATATTTGTATATTAAAACAATAATGTTTATTATTAATAAATGCTCAAAACATAGTTCTTACTATGTGTTCTTACACTATAGTTCTTACTATAGTTCTTACACTTAATGTGAATAAAGAGATACTTTATATTTCTTGGTTTGTAGCTGCAAATAATGTTGCATTAAGATAGATTAGATGTTCAAATTCTTAAAATTTAAACATGACTAATTTCACTTTTGGAGAATTATGTTTCTAAAGATAGATATATACAATGCTATATGCATAATTCTTCCTGCTTATTTCACTGCCTGTATAACTCAGCATACATTTCCTCTGCATATACGTCATATGATTCAATAATAGAAGAAGAAATGAGACTTTGTTAGTAAGTACATTCATATTTTACTCATGAGACCAATGTCAAAAATTAGGAATAAATTTTAAGTTCTTATGGTAAATTTATCACAATATCTTTTATGCAAGTATCATTTTCATCTCATTATTAGAGGTCATTCACATAGGTTTAAAATTTAAATGAATAGTTATAAACACAGTTCTCAAAGAAGTTAGTTTCTCTACCCCAATCTTTAATTTTTAGTCTTACTAAAAAAATGATAAAAAGCAGTATTTAATTTTCATTTATCAGTAACTTAAATATGCACCTGTTAGAGATAAAACTTTCTAATAGTTCCCATAAAAGTGGAATTAATAACACATAGTACCACGGTAATGTCTGAAATTTTGTGTATCTTCTTACTCAGATACCACTATACAAAAAGACAGTCTGAAATACACAGAATTCAAATTAAGTTGGCAAATTTTCAGAAAATGCACTATGTGCTCAATATCACAGCTCAGCTTTCTGTGTAACTTTCATTACAAAAGCAAGACGCTGGGAAATTACAAAAAGGAGAGACTACTTTCTTAAATGTCCATTAAATTGGCAAATATTTTTAAACATTTTCTTCACAATTGTGATGACTGACTCATTTTATATGAACAGAAATTTTCAAGACAACAAAATAGGAATAGTGAATTCTTAATATTCTATAATTGACTATAATAATATTCTACCAATGTCAGTTACAAGCAGCATGAAACTGACTAATTCCCATATGTTTATTTACAAATTTAATTTCATAATACCAATTAGGTGTCATCAAACTAATTTGCACAAAGTCTTATGCAATTCTTGGTTGGTAAGAATGTTTTTCAGAATTAATGCTATATTATGCCACCTAAGGCATAAAGGGGTAATCACTCTACAATACACTGCTTTTTATTCCATGATTGCCAAACAATTAACTTATTCCTCCTGGCTAAAGTTGTCACTTATGCCACAAAATAGCAGTAGATTAATTATAGCCTTCGAAATTGATCTCCATGAAAGTTGTGGATGACGTCACTTTCTGCGCACTCTCCTCTCTGCTCTTTCTGTCACCCATGTTCAGACTATGGATAAATACTAAGAAAACAGGAAGTTGAAAATCAGAGGTTTTTTTTTTTCTGGAATGTTCAAAATATGCAGCTTGATCTGTTTTATGAAACTATTTATGATTTTTTTCATTGTTCTTAAGATCAAAGTCTCTATTATTTTTATGAACTTTCAAGAGCAGCCATCACTTCATACCAAGGAAGCTGTCCCTTAATTCTAACAGAACAGGCTAAAATTCCCATTCTTCTTTGCCATAGCCACAAACATGAACTCCACCATAACTGAGAACATTCCAGGAGCTCCAGCGCATTTTCAGAGTTTACAAGCTGCTGTGGCTGTGTTTCATTAATGTCTTTATGAGGACAAAACATGCATAAACATCAACAATCTATGAAGCAATATATTGTAATGGTTAAAATTACATACTCTGGAGTCAGACATAGGTTTCAGTATCTCCTGTCTATTTAATAACTCTTTAATATATAAATTTAGGCAAATTACTTAGTAATTATGCCTCAGTTTCCCTGTAAAACGCAGCCTTTATATTTACTTAATGTAATTGCTATGAGAAATAAATTGAGGGATATGTATGGAGCACTTCACATAGTGTTTGGCACATAATCAATACTTCATAAACCTCTGTTAATTTGGAGAAGGCAATGTAATATGCTGTGTACAGATGACCCTAATGAAATTATTTAAATAACTTTATCAACTAATTTGGGAGGCTATTAGAGGATAACAAGATTGTAATACTTTAAATTAAACTGTTTTCTTTTTTACATTTTGACTGTGAAAATAATGTGTTTACTAGAAAAGTTTATTTTGATTGTTTTATGATATACAAAAACTTATATTTTATTAATTGCTCTCAAGTTGTTCACTTCATAGCAGGACCATGGGATAGTCTTTAGCAAATATGCAAGCTCTTTGGGAAAACTAAATGCGTACAATAAACAATAAAGAATTCACGCTTTGAAAACAAAAATTCAGATACGCATATCCTAGATAGAATGCTTAAATGCTAAGTGGATGTGAAGTAATGAACAATGCATAACTAATCAGGAAAAAATTGTAAACCTAGTCGTGCAGAATAGAGATATAGATGTTTACACAGATAAAAGTTATGGATAAAGAGTCAATAATAAATATAATTAAGAAAAATCCAACACCAATAAAAAATATCACAAGCTTATAAAAATAATTCTTAATAAAAATTTAATAAAAATAAAACCAAAAATGTTGGATTTCTCTACCCAGACCATTTAAGTCAGTTTAATACCAGCCAGCCCCTGGCATCTCACTACACATATGCAGGTAGAAAATAGATTATAAGATATACATTGTATATGAAAATGAAAACTATATGAGAGATTATACTTTATTAAAAACTACAAAATAAAATAAAATTAATTTTTTTTCTGTATTTAAAAGAAAAAAAAATCCTGAATTTAGATTGAAAGAATATCTGAAACTCAATCTTTATGAAAGACAATTTCTTAAAAGATTTCTGGAAGACTAAGAAAATAGATTATGAAAAACATAGCTAAGAAAACAGTTAAACCTTTTAAATTTTAGGCAGTATTTATTGATCATTTATTACAATGAATTAGTATAATCTTCTAATTTTTTCTCTCATCTCACTGTTCCCAGTAATTGTTGTAATAATTAAATTATTCCTCCCTTTCAAGTTTAGGTGTTACTTTCTGCTCTATATAGTATGGTAATAAATAGCATAGACTGTGGATTCAGATTGCTCAGATTCAATCAAAACTTTGCCATATAGCTATCTAAATTTTATCTCATTATTTTACTTTTCTATTCCTCAGTTTCTTCATCCGTTGAATAAGAATAATAGTATATCTGCCTCACTAAGTAAGCGAAATAGTTAACTACTGTTTTATTATTTTGGTTATTTTGTAACCATAACTAGTCAATTGTTCAGTATTTATCTATTTAAATAACATCTCCACCAATCTCTAGTCCTTCTACTGTGGCTTTCTAATTCTTTTTTGAGTTGTATCTTAATTTTTTCAACAGTATCTTAGGTATTTTATAGCCAAATTCCTTCAATTTTGAAAATTTCTATGTATTGTAGTCATACTTTTAGTAAAATCTTGGCTGGATATAATATTGTCAGTATATCTTTTCTTTCTCCCTTAACTTTATAAATGTTATTTTCTGTTATTGAATAACACAACAAAAATATTTATTTTTGGGAGAGGGAGCAACTCACTTTACTGTTTGTAGACGATTTCCTTAGTCTATTTGGATGGATTAAAAAATATTATTGCCTTAAAACTTATTACCTATCTGGGATTTGTTTTAGTTAATAACATTACATAAAAAAGAAAATTCTTAAAACTGTTTTCTCTGTATCCACAAATTTAATTTTGCTAGATAAAAGATATAAACAGGTCATTAAGCAAAAAAAAAGTTTAATAAACTAAAGATATACTCAACCTTATCAATAATCATAGATGTGAAATAAAATAATATGAGATTAACCAAATATTTACATTTCTATAATGTCAGTTGGAGTTTTAAGAGGTCAGTTTTTAAAAAAATCATTGCTTTCTCACCTGAGGTGTGAACATAAAATCAAATAATAGATTTCCAAATTTTAGCTCAATGACTGCTAAAAGCATAAATGAAAAGCATGGCCTTAGTGTGCAGCCAAACAGACTTAGTATCACATTCTAAATTAGATAGTCTTTTCTGCCCAGTCAGAGGCAGCACTGATCAAAGTTAGGCCACATGCAAAGGGGCAGAACCAACATCACAACATCTTTCACAGATCTCTGAGACAGCAAAATTTCCCCTCTCTTCAAGCACACAGATCGGACAATAGGAAAGATCATCTGAACATGCTCAGTGCCTTCTCCACCTGTTGCAAATTCTCCAGTGAAAAGTTTTGTTAATGTAACTGAAATACCTTTATATGGAATAATGAGAGGTCTGAGAAAAGTCTATCTTCACTAGAAATGTCAAGTATCAGCAAAGGTGTAGGGAGCCAAGGGCTCTCAAAAACCACCAATGGGAGTTACACATATAACCAATTTGGAAATATCTGATGAAGCTTACTGTAGTGAAGTATTCCAGATACTATACTCAAAATTATAGTATCTGTGCCTGTCTCTGTCTCTCTTCCTCTCTCATTCTTTTTCTCTCAAATATATACATATAGGTGTAAGTATGTGTCCATATATTAATGTGTATTTATGTACATATATCTGTATGTGTATATGTGTGTATAAATATGTATGTATGTACAGGCTACCCTGCTTTGATAAAATAACCTCACAACAAGGTTGACTCAAAAAAGACAGACATTCATTTCTCCTTCACACAGTAATCTGAAGTTAGCTGGGAAATGTAAGATGGATACAGAGATATACTGCATAAACGATTGCAGGGTAAGCCGACTTTGACCTGGATTACTTTCATTGTTCTCATTTCTGATTCCTGAGAGCAAGCAAAAGAACTTTCTGAGATGATGGCAATATTCTATATTTGCACCATCTATTATGATAGTTGCTAGACAAATGTGGCTATTATACATGTGAAACATGGCTAGTGTAACTGAAAACTAAAATTTTAAATTTATTTAATTGCCATATGTGATACAGGGCAGGCAAGCCCCACAGTGCAGCTTTGCCTGCTGGTTTCTTGTCTTTGCCCAGGAAAGAATTCAAAGGTAATCCAGAGGTAGAAGAAAACAACTTTATTGAAGAGGCAGTGTTACAACTGCAGTGGTGTTACAGATTCGTGACTGCTCCATAGCTAGGGCTACCTTGTAGGCAGAGAGTAGCAGTTTGGGGCAGTTTTGCAGTCAAATTTATATCCACTTTTAATTGCATGCAGATTAAGGTGCAGTTTATGCAGAAATTTCTCTGGAAGGGGTAGTAATCATTGGGTCACCACCATGGAAAGGGGCAGTAACTCCTGTGTGTTGCCATGGCAACAGTAAATTGACATGGCACACCAACAGGCTGTCTAATTGAAAGCTGCTTTCACCCTGGCTCTGTTTTAGCTAGTTGTCAATCTGGTCCAGTGTCCAAGCCTCAGCCCTGGGGTCAAGTATTGCCTCCTATCGATCACGTATGTAGCTAATTGCTACTATACAGTGCTGTTTTTAGTCATCATGTGACATGAAGCCTGGCAAGCTTCACTTCTGCACCCCAGTTCATGGACACAGTAAAGAGAAGTCCAAGACAATTTTAAGATTTATTTTAAAGAAGAATTTTGAACACAGTGCTCAAGTTTACATCTTATGGTCATACTTTGAGCCACAAAAGAGACAGGAAAATCTATCTCTAGCTTGGGCAGCTATGTATCTTGTTAAAAGTTTACAATAAAGGAAGATCATTCTGCCTCAGTATATGTTCTAGAGAAACATTTACATTTCAAATCAAGGACACACACCATTTATTAAAACTTTATATAACAAAATGGACAAAAATCTGGACAAATAGATTAAACACTAATTTTAGGATATTGTGTATTTTCTGGGTTAGGAGGGAGATAAATGAGTGAGTGGATGCAATTATATATGCACTAAACATGATTTGATTGATATATATATATACATTATCATTTTTCTTTCAAACGTTATCAGAATTACAGTTAAGTAATGTAAAAGAAGTACACTACAAGAGCAGTAGTAGACAAGAGAAGAACATTGTTGAAGATGGAAAGTAGCTGAAAAAATTGTAATTACAAAGTGAAGATCTAAATAGTCGAAATATAAATGACTATACAATGAAAGACAAAATGAAACAAACCCACATACATTGCAAAACCCTAAGTAGGTTTAGTAATTAGAGACACCAGGCCTTTTCAGCAGTGTGAATGGGAAAGAAAATGTAAGAACAAATTCTAAGTCTGTGAGTTTGCCATAAGAGGAATGGTTACCAGTGATCTTTTGAATGAAAGATGTCAATCAATACTTACATACTCCAAGGTTTATTTAATAGAAAATGATATAGCAATTTAAAAAGAGATTATAATGAAAGGAAATATTGAAGCCTACTCCTAAAATGAAGTACAAGATTCCTGATCTTTCACACACATCCATGAAACCTGTAGGTTCTTAGATTTTCTCCAACAGACAAAGGATTCTATCAGGCTTAAGAGACTGGCTGACATGTATCAAAATCACTTCAGCATCTACTGATTGAAGGAAAATAAATCTCTCTCAAAGAGAAGAATAAAGAATATGCAAGCATAAAAAGACATAATGTCTGCGATTATTTACTACACAATTACTGAATAATGACAGTGAGGTAAACTAGAGACACATGAAGATCTTGGGGTTTGTTTGAAATTCTCTTTATATCTTATATTAATGGAAATTGTAGGAATTCTTTATCCTCTATCAAACATATCTTAGTATAGAAACTAATCTCTAAAGACCTTCATATAGAAAAAGAGGGAGCTGTGTCATGCCTATAATCCAAGCTACTTGGGAGGCTAAGACAGCAGAATCACTTCACCCCAAGAGTTTGAAGCCATTCTGGGCCACATAGCAAGACCCTGTCTCTCTCTCTCTCTCTTTTTTTTTTTTTTTTTTTTTGTAGAGACAGGGTCTTGCTGTGTTTCTCAGGCTGGTCTCGAACACCTAAGTCAAGTTTATTAAAAGCTAATTAAGAGTGGCTTAAAGCACAGCTAAGTTAATATCAAGTAAATCTTTAAAAAAATTATTAAATTAAAAAATCACATTATATGTTGTTACCAGAAGTAATTCATCAACATGCAAACATTTGGTAATAAATTCCAGTGGAAATGTCATGCTCACTTAAAATTTGATATAATTCAATTTCCAAACCTTTGTAATCCAGTATGAGATTATTTTATTATAAAGAAATATAGAAAATCAGACATTTTTGGTGCAAATATCATTTGGTTTTAAAACATTTTATACAAGTACTACCACTTCTGTCTTTTATAAGTAATGTCATTTTGTTGTTTCTTTGTAATACGATAGAATTTTCTCAATTATCAGATATTCTTCTACTACAAATTAAACCTCTCAAAATTCACATTGAAATATAAAAGTAAATGTAGTAAGGCTTTTAACCTTCTGAGGGAAAAGTAATCCTAACTTAGACCTCTCTATTCATCCAATCTATCTACCAATTATAAGATTAGAATGTAGATATTTTCAGTTGTGTTAGGTCTCAAAGTATTATGTCTCATTCTTCTCTTATTATGATGCTAATAAAGGATATATTAACAAATTTCTTGTAGAAAATCAAGAAAAGTCCTATCTGGTATCTAGAAAAGAGAAGTTATAGAAAAGAAAGGAGGTACAGGGAATTTTGAAGACAATGAGGAGAAAAGCCCCATGAAGGCAAATGATTTCAGGAGAGATGTCCTCAATGAGAAAAAAGCACTAATGGGTTTTCTCATATATTTTAAAGTATTGAGAAGTAATTTGCAATTCTATATGAGTGTTGGAAGAAAAAAAGGGATGTAAGTATATAGAAAATTGTGCCAAAATTTGGGATCATTAACTCCAAGGTGAATAAAATAGCATACAATAAAAATAAATAATATTAATATACTATAGATGCAAGAAAAGAATCACGTTAAAGTCAAGATACTATAAACATAGAATATTACACATACAAATGATGTTGTTGTATAACTAATTAGAACATGTATCTGTGTCTGTTGTGGGGTAGGGAAAGGAAGAGCTTATAGAACCATAGGGTATTATTTTTAGACAATATCTAAAATTGGACAGTCATAGTGAAAGATGGTTGTTGAACAGGTTGTGTATTTATGATTAAATCCACCTTATATAATATCTCAATTTAACAACATATATTAATAACAGCTATTTGCAAAGGCAGCAAAAACAAAATTGACAAATGGGACTTAATTAAACTAAGAGCTTCCTGCACAGCAAAAGAAACAATCAACAGAGTAAACAGAAAACCTAAAGAATGGGAGAAAACATTTGCAAACTGTGAATCTGACAAAGGACTGCTTTTCAGATCTTATAAGGAACAAATAAATTAACAAGAAAAGAACAAACAAGACCATTAAAAACTGGGCAAAGGGCTGGGTGCTGTGGCTCGCGCCTGTAATCCCAGCACTTTGGGAGGCCCAGATGGGTGGATCGATTGCCTGAGGTCAGGAGTTCAACAACAGCCTGGCCAGCATGATGAAACCCCGTCTCTACTAAAAATACAAAAATTAGCTGGGCATGGTGGCACATGCCTGTAGTCCCAGCTACTCGGGAGGCTGAGGCAGGAGAATCGTTTGAACCCAGGAGGCAGAGGTTGCAATGAGCCAAGATCACGCCACTGCACTTCAGCCTAGGCAACAAGGTGAGGCTCCATCTCAAAACAAACAAACAAAAAGGAGGCAAAGGACAAGGAACAGATACTTCTCAAAAGAAAACATACAAGCAGCCAACAGCATATGAAAAAATGTTCATCACTAATCATCAGAGAAATGCAAATTAAAATAACAATTATTAATAGATACCATCTCAAACCAGTCAGAATGGCTATTATTAAAAAATCAAAAAATAACAGCTGTTGGCAGGGATGCAGAGAAAAGAGAACACATATACACTGTTGGTAAGATTGCAAATTAGTTAAACCCTGTGGAAAACTGTATGGATATAACTTAGATAACTAAAAATACTACTATTCAACCCAGAAATCTCACTAATGGGTATGTGCCCAAAGGAAAATAAATCATTCTATTTAAAAGACACTTGCCTTTGTATTTTTATTGCAGCACTATTCACAATGGCAAAGTCATAGAATCAATCTAAGTGCCCATCAATGGTGGATTGGATAAAGAAAATGTTGTGCGGCCAGCCGTGGTGGCTCACGCCTGTAATCCCAGCACTTTGGGAGGCCGAGGTGGGCGGATCACCTGAGGTCGGGAGTTCAAGACCAGCCTGACCAACATGGAGAAACCCCATCTCTACTAAAAATACAAAATTAGCCAGGCATGGTGGCGCATGCCTGTAATCCCAGCTACTCGGGAGGCTGAGGCAGGAGAATCGCTTGAACCCAGGAGGCAGAGGTTGTGGTGAGCCGAAATTGTGCCATTTCACTCCAGCCTGGGCAACAAGAGCAAAACTCCATGTCAAAAAAAAAAAAAAAAAGAAAAAGAAAGAAAATGTGATGCATATATACCATGGAATACTACACAGCCATAAAAAAGTATGTCTTTTGCAGCAACATGGATGTAGCTTGATACCATTAACAAAAGAAAATCAAATACTACATGTTCTCACTTGTAAGAGGGAGCCAAACAATGGGAATATATGGATATAAACATGGAAAAAACAGACACTAGGCACTCCAAAAAAGGGGAGTGAGGGATAGAGGCAAGGGTTGAAAAACTGACTATTGGGAACTATGTTCATTCTTTGGGTGATATATTCAATAGAATCCCAAATTCAAGCATGCAATATGCCAATGTCACAAACCTGCACATGTACACTTTGAATCTAAAATAACTCTTAAAAATGAAAAATGTGCTATTTGGGAATGTGGAAGAAAATATCTTCATAAGCATCAAACATAATTTAAAGTGATATTTTGGAAAAGACCAGGAAGTAGTGTTAGAGAAGTGAAAGTGAGGAAAACATTGATTCTGGATTTTGTTTTGTTTTGTTGTTAAAGGTTTATAGTAGCATTTATCTTCAAGCTAGGGGAAGTCATTATTTGGAGAAAAGTAAATAATAGAGCAAAAGTGAGAGCTTAGACAATATGATAAATTGTGAACATAAGTTAAATCTTGGTGATATTTGCATATATGTCAATCAAAATGTGTCTTGTATTTTTTCTAAGCTTTTATAAGTACCTTAATGTAAGTGTATAAAATGTGTCAGATGGCTGAGTAAATTTGCTATACAGAAAATGTTTACACAATTTGATATAAATAGACTTTACAGGAAAGTTGACATTATATAAATCTGAACATTTGTTTTTAAATATATCATTCTGTGTAAATTATGATATCTAGACTTTATATGTTTTGAAACAAACAGGAAAGATGCACCAGCTTCATGTCAAGAAATATTAAATCCCCGAATTACAACTCTTTAAAAAGTTGCATATTTTGCCATATTATGCGGTTTTTGAATTTATTTACATTAAATCATTATTTATTACCAGAAAAGGAGGTTTGAAGTTTAAAACAATTTATTGATGAAAGCACATGTAACATGGGTCACAAATGTGCTTTAAAATTTTAGTACATTTTCTCTAATCTATGAATCAGATATTGAGACTTGTTACATAAAACTGACACTGGAGCAAGGAATGCTTATTACAAAGTTCCATAGTTAGAACTTTATATAATTTTTATTCATTTGATACATATTTATTAAAAACGTAATACACAGATGAATAAGCAGCACTTCTGCCCTAAGAGCTATGGTCCTAAAAGGGAGAGAGACAATACAGAGGCAATTATGGAGTATAATAGTTGCTGAAGAATACCTGTGGTTAGTGCCTGATGGAAGTGAGAGGTGAAGCCAGCTGGGCTTCTGGGTCAGGTAGGGAATTGGAGAGCTTTTCTGTCTAGCTAGAGGATTGTAAACACATCAATCAGTGCTCTGGGTCTAGCTAAAGGTTTGTAAATGCACCAATCAGCACTCTGTAAAAACGCACCAATCAGCGCTCTGTGTCTAGCTAAAGATTTCTGAATGCACCATTCAGCACTCTGTAAAAATGGACCAATCAGAGCTCTGTAAAATGGACCAATCAGCGCTCTGTAAAATGGACCTATCAGCAGGATGTGGGCGGGGCCAAATAAGGGAATTAAAGCTGGCCACCCAAGCCAGAAGAGGCACCCTGCTCCAGTCCCCTTCCATGCTGTGGATGCTTTGTTCTTTAGCTCTTCACAATAAATCTTGCTGCTGCTCACTCTTTGGGTCCGCACTACCTTTATGAGCTGTAACACTCACTGCAAGGGTCTGCAGCTTCGTTCCTGAAGTCTGTGAGACCATGAACTCACTGGGAGGAACAAACAACTCCGGACGCGCCACCTTTAAGGGCTGTAACACTCACTGTGAAGGTCTGTGGCGTCACTCCTGAAGTCAGCAATACCACGAACCCACTGGAAGGAAAAAACTCTGGACACACCTGAACATCTAAAGGAACAAACTCCAGACACACCATCTTTAAGAGCTGTAATACAACAAGAGTACCTGGCTTCATTCTTTAAGTCAGCGAGACCGAGAACCCACTGGAAGGAACCAATTCTGGACACAGAAGCATATAGAAAGAACTACCAATCTGGCACCAAGACTTCAGAGGTGTTTTTTCAAAGGAATTGATTTTCAACTGAGTTCCAAAGAGTGAACAGGTGTCAGCTAGAAAAAGATCACAAAAAAGAGTAATTTGTCTTTACTACAGTCATCCTTTATTAAGTTTTTGATGTCTACCCTTTCCACAACCACTAGTTTTTAATGATTTTAAATTTTTCAAGTATTTTTACTTTAATGCATCTTAAAAATCACTTTACATATCTATCTGTATTTTGTCATCTTAAAATGGCACAGAACATGACTCACCAGTTTGCTAATCAGATTAGCCCAGTGATTTTATTTAATAATGATAAAATAGCTAGAAGTGAGTAGATAAGTATAATTCGGTATTAATGTTAACATAATAAAGGCTAACATAGGTATCCAATGAACATAATGTGTTTATAGAAATAGTCTTCATGGAAAGGTTAATTTCTTTCAAGGCCTTGCATGTCAGAATTATACTTAAGTATATTTTAATGACTTTAAAGCACTTATTATTTGCCCTTTCATAGCCGTAATCTTAGAGAATGGAACACACACACACACACACACCCGAACACCTCATGCACATTTGCTAAAATCTTCAGAATGGCTATAATTGAAATCTTATTTACTTATGTGTTTCCAGTGTCCAGAACGGTTCCAATTAACTTAGTATTTGATTTCTGCTTAAATGAATAAATATTAATTTGTAAGTGAATAATATAAATGAAATTCAGTTCTGTCACATGCATGATCTGCGGACTAGAGTGAAAGATTCCTTTATTTAAACATTCACCATTACATCTGGCTTTAAATTGATGCTAAAATGGACCTCTTTTAGTTTTATGTTTTCAGTTTTTTTGAGACAGATTCTAGCTCTGTCGCCCAGGCTGGAGTGCAGTGGCGGGATCTCTGCTCACTGCAAGCTCCGCCTCCCAGGTTCACACCACTCTCCTGTCTCAGCCTCACTAGTAGCTGGGACTACTGGCGCCCACCACCACGCCCGGCTAATTTTTGTATTTTGTTTAGTAGAGACGGGGTTTCACCGTGTTAGCCAGGATGGTTTCAATCTCCTGACCTCGTGATCCGCCCGCCTCGGCCTCCCAAAGTGCCGGGATTACACGCATGAGCCGCCGCTCCTGGCCTAGTTTTATTTTCAAATGAAGCTCTAATGTACATAACATACCAACTTGGGATAAGTGATCACCTTTAAGAACCTATTTTCCATGCTTAATTGAATGGCCTAACTCTAACCTTCAATAGCTAAGTTTAAAAAGGCAAGGCTGTGGATAAACTCAAGAATAGACGAATGTTACTGAACTGCAATGCCTTGCTTTCCCCTTCCACCACTGGAAAATATAAAGATTGTTTTACTATTTGTCCAACTTGTTGAAAAACCAGTTAAGGAGACTACTTAGATAACTTAACATTTGTCGTGTATTGTTTCTGCTACTCAGCAGATTGTTGTGTGACTTGTGTTTAAGATATAAAGTCAGGGAGTTAACAATTAATATTCTTTCTGGTGCCGTGACAAGAAAAATATGATGCTACATGGCATTTAGCCTATTTGTTTTAATAAAAGATGCTATGGGACATGTGTGGCTCCTTTATGATAAAAAAATAAATTGGGCATTTTGGATCATGGCTAGAGAGCTAGTTGGACAGACAATGAGAGCCCAAAAGGGGGATGAGTCACTGCATTCCCTCAGGCTGAACAAAAGAACTTAAGTGATCAGCTGGAGAACACTGTGTGATAAACAGCAAAGGAATTGCAATTGAGAGAACCAAACAAGGTGAAATTTGCATACTGACTTTTGTATTACAAGCTATGTTTGTAACACAAGTGGTAATTAGCTGGGCATAGTGGCGGGCGCCTGTAGTCCCAGCTACTCGGGAGGCTGAGACGGGAAAGTGCCGTGAACGTGGGAGGCGGAACTTGCAGTGAGCCGAGATCACGCCACTGCACTCCAGCCTGGGCAACAGAGCCAGACTCCATCTCAAAAAAAAAAAAAAAGAAAAAAAAAAAAAAACAACTAAACTCAGCGTCCTATTTTCAGTGAAGGTTTGTATTCTTTTTTCCAAATCAAATAAGTAAACTCAGCGTCCTATTTTCAGTGAAGGTTTGTATTGTTTTTTCAAATCAAATAAAATAAATGACAATGATTTAAGGTTTCTATACAATTTGGGATGATAGTCTAAGTCCTGTTACATTGATAATTTAAAAAAACATTAATTTATATGTTTTAATAAATACTTACTCTGAACTGGTTTTATCTGTAGTTTATACAAAATCTATATTTTGTCATATTATGCCTTTGATTATAATTCTTCAGTGCTTACTTTTCAACATAAAATAAAATTTAAATTTTCTACAAAGCCTTGCGTGAACTGATCCTTGCCATTTCTTCCAATATAGCCTACATTCTCCTGTGTCCGGAATTGGTTCCTTCTGATGGGTTCTTAGACTTGCTGACTTCAAGAATGATGCCACAGACCCTCGCAGTGAGTGTTACAGTTCATAAAGGCAGTGCTTCCAGAGTTGTTTGTTTCTCCCAGTGGGTTCATAGTCTCTCTGGCTTCAGGAGTGAAGCCGCAGAACTTTGCAGTGAGCGTTACAGTTCATAAACGCGGCATGTCTGGAGTTGTTCGTTCCTCCTGGTGGGTGCATAGTCTTGCTGGCTTCAGAAGTGAAGCTGCAAACCTTCAAGGTGACTGTTACAGCTCATAAACATAGTTCGGATCTTAAGAGCGTGCAACAGCAAGATTTGTTGCAAAAAGCGAAAGAATAAACCTTCCACACCACACAAAGGGACCCAAGCTAGTTGCCACTGTTGGCTCTGGTGGCTTACTTTTATTCCCTTATTTAGCCCAACCCACATCCTGCTGATTGGTTCATTTTACAGAGAGTTGATTGGTCCATTTTACAGAGTGCTGATTGGTCCATTTTACAGTGTGCCGATTGGTCCGTTTTACACAGTGCTGATTGGTCTGTTTTACAGAGTGCTGATTGGTCCGTTTTTACAGAGTGCTGATTGGTGCATTTACAAACCTTTAGCTAGACACAGGGTGTTGATTGGTGCATTTACAATCCTCTAGCTAGCCAGAAAAGTTCTCCAAGTCCCCACCCCACCCAGAAGCCCAGCTGGCTTCACTTCTCACTACTGATACCCGAAAGACTTGCATTCTGTCTTCTAAATGCCTCCAAAACTCCAAGGTCTGGCTTATTCCATTTTTATGCATTGCCATCTGCATAACAGTACACTCCCCAGTACCATCTTTAAAACTTACAAGTATTTCTTTCAATTTTTTAACTTAAATTTCAAGGAGACATTTTCTAACCATACAATATAAAGGCATTTCAGCCTTCCCTCAGTTATACCATGTTTTATGCCTTTATATATTTTACCCAACACTTATTCTGCTCTGTGATTCTTACTTTGTTTTTGTTTGATTGCTTTTGCTTTGTTAGAATATAAACTTGATGAGGGAAATAATTCTGACTATATTCACATTCATTTCATCATTAGTAGTTGGCACTGAGCAGTCACTTAGTGAATATTCTTTGAATTAATGGAAATGAGAAGGAAAGGTAGAAAGGAAGGAAAAAGGAAGTGAAGGAGGTAGAGAGAGGGAGAATGTGTAAGCTTAGAAAGCACTGTATTTATTTTTCTTTTTTAAGCTTCAACTCATTGTTTAATCTGTAATATGGTGAGACATAGTCCTCTGTGTGAAGAAAGGCACTTCATGTAATTTTGACATTTTTAAGAGTTTCCAAATTGACCTATTATTGATGTTCATGTTACTTTAGAGAGAACATTAATGAGAATTTCATATATTGAGCAATATATACAATTTTGTACATCTAGAACAAAGAGTGATAAACCTCTCAGCTAGATTCCCTATTGCACAAATTGACAAAAATCTCCCAGCGCCCACAAGGTGCATCTATAAAATAAAGGGGTATTTTTTTATAAGAAGAATACTTCTGTCTTGATTGCCCTATTCTTTTTTTTACAATTAGGATTTTATTTGTCTTTTTTGCTGATGCACAATAATTGTACACATTTATGGAGTGCATATGTTATTTCAATATATGCATACAGTGTGCATTGATCAAATCAGGGTAATTAGAATATCCATCACCTCAAACATGTATCATTTCATTCTTCACATGCAGTTATTTTGAAATAGACAATGAATTATTGTCAATTACAATCATTCTACTGTGATATCCAACAGGAGTACTTAGTCATTCTATCTCACTTCAGTTTCCTACTCATTAACCAACCTCTCATCATCCTCACTTCCTAACCTAAACTTCCTGGCCTTTGCTATCTATCATTCTATTCTCTACCTCCATAAGATCAACTTTTTTACTTCACACATATAAGTGAGAACATGTGATATTTGTTTCTCTGTGCCTTATTTCTGTTAACATAATGTCCTCCAGTTCCATCCGTGTTGCTACAAGTGACAGAATTTTATTCTTTGTAATGGCTAAATAATATTCCATTGTGTATGTATACCACATTTTCTTTATCTGTTCATCTATTGATGGACACTTACGTTGAATTCATATTTTGGCTATTGTGAACATAGCTTCAATATATATCTCTCCCATGTAGTTATTTTCTTTCTTTCAGATATATACCCAGCAGTGAGATTGCTGAATCATATGGTAGGTCTATTTTTAGTTTTTTGAGGAACTTTCTTACTATTTCCCATAGTGGTTGTTCTAATTTACATTCCCATCATCCGTGTGTTTTTTCCTTTGAATGCATCCTCATCAGCATTTTGTTATTTTTTGCTGTTTTTTACAATAGCCATTTAACTGGGATGAGATGATATCGCATTCTGGTTTTGAGCTGCATTTCTTTGACGATTAGTGATCTCCAACATTTTTTCATATACGTGTTGGTCATTTGTATGTTTTGTGAAATGTCTATTTGGATCTTTTTTCCGATTTTAATTTGACTATTATTATATTTTTACTTTTGGCCTGTTTTTCTTTTATATTGTGATTATTAATCCCTTGTCAGATGAATAGTTTACAAATATTTTCTCCTATTATGTGGAAACAAAATTTATTGTTTGCTTTGCTGTGCAGCAGCTTTGCAGCTTAATGTAATCCCTTATGTCTGTTTTTGTTTTTGTTGCCTGTGTTTTTGAAATCTTAGCCCCAAAATCTTTACCCAAACCAATGTCCTGAAGCACTTCCTCAGTGTTTTCTTCTAGTAATTTCAGTTTCAGATCTTACATTAGAGTATTTAATCCATTTTGAGTTGATTTTTTATATATAGTGTGAGATAGGGGTCTAGTTTTATTCTTCTTCATACGGATACCCAGTGTTCTTAGCACCATTTATTACACAGATTCTCCTTTTCCCAATATATGTCTTTAAGATCTTTGTTAAAAATGAGTTGGCTGTAAATGTGTGGCTGTATACTTGGATTTCTATTTAATTTCATTGGGCTATTTGTCTGGTTTTACGTCAGTACTGTGCTGTTTTGTTTACAATGTTTGGAGCATATTTTGACATCAGGTAGTGTGATGCTTCCAGCTTTGTTCTTTTTAATCAGGATTGCCTTGGCTATATGTGGTCTTTTCTGGTGCCATGTAAATTTTAGGATTGTTCTTGTACATTTTCTTCTTCTACTGAAAAATGGCGTTTGTATTTTGATAGGGATTGCATTGAATCTCTAGATTGCTTTTGGTAGTGTGGTCATTTTAACAATATTAATTCTTTTAATCTATGGACACAGGATATGGTTTCACTATTTGTGACCCCTTCAATTTCCTTCATCAGTGTTTTATAGTTTTCTTTGTAGAGATGTTTCACTTCCTTGGTTAAATTTATTCCTATGTATTTTGTAGTTATTGTAAATGGGATTACTGTCTTGACTTTTTTCAGATGGCTCACTATTGGTGTATAGAAATGCTACTGATTTTTGTATGTTGATTTTGAATAAAGCAAATTTACTGAATTCAGTTACTAGTTCTAACAGTATTTTGGTGGAATCTTTAGCTCTTTCTAAATAGAAGATTATGTCATCTGCAAACAGGGACAATTTCACTTTTTCTTGCTTAATTAGTCTGTTTAGGACTTTCAGTTCTGTATTGAATAAAAGTAGTGAAAGTGGGCATCCTTGTCTTTTTTTGAGATTTTAGAGGAAAGACTTTTAATTTTGTCTCATTCAGTATTATATTAACTGTGGGTTTACCATATATGGCCTTAATTGTTTTGATATCTGTTCCTTCTACACCAAGTTTTTTGAGGGTTTTAATCATGAATGGATGTTAAATTTTATTGAATATCATTAATATCAATTTTTTCAAACTATTTCAGAACATTAAAGAGGAGGGATTACATCCAAACTCATCTAAAAGGTCAGCATAACCCTGATGCCAAAACAATAGATGCTTTCTCAGCATCTATTGAAATAATCATATGATTTTTGTTCTTGATTCTTTTAATGTAATATGTGGCATTTATTGATTGGTGTACACTGAATCATCCTTGAATCCCTGTGATGAATCCACTTGATCATCATGAATGAACTTTTCAATGTGTTGTTGAATTTGGTTTACTGGGAGTTTGTTGAAGATTTTTGCATCTATATTCATCAGGGTTATTGACCTGTAGTTTTCTTTCTCCATTATGTTCTTGTATGGTTTTGGCATCAGGGTTATGCTGACCTTTTAGATGAGTTTGGATGTAATCCCTCCTCTTTAATGTTTTTGAAATAATTGGAGAAAAATTGATATTAATGATGCTTTTAATGTTTTGTAGAATCTAGCAGCTAATCCTTCAGGCCCTGGGCTTTTCTTTGGTGAGACATCTTTTATTACTGCTTTGATCTCATTACTTATTATCAGTCTTGTCAGAATTTCTGTTTCTTCACGGTTCAATCTTTGTCAGTTGTATGTCCAGAAACTTATCTGTTTCTTCTAAGCTTCCTAATAGTTTCTGATGATCCTTTGTATTTCTGTGGTATCAATTTTAATGTCTCTTTTTTCATCTCTGATTTTATTAATTTGAATCTTCTCTTTTTTTAGTTATTCTAGTTAGTTTCTCAATTCTATCTTTTTTAAAGGCCAACTTTTTGTTTTATTGATGTTTTTGCATTATTTTTAGTCTAAAATTTATTTCTACTCTGATATTTATTTTTATTTTTTTTTCTCTTGCTGGGTTTGGAAGATTTTCTTTTCATTTGTTCTTGTTTTTTTTTTTTTTTTTTTTAGTCCATTGTGGTGTATCATTAGTTTGTTTATTTTAAGTCTTTCTCCTTTTTTGATGTGGACATTTATCGCTATAACCTTCCTTCAGAACTATTTTTGCCATATCCCATAGGTTTTGGTATGTTGTGATTTCATTTTTATTTATCTCAAGAAATTTTAATATTTGCTTTGAAATTTCTTCCTTGATCCATTTGTCATTCAAGAGCATGTTGTTTATTTTCCATAAATTTGTACAGTTTCCAATATTCTTCTGTTATTTATTTCTAGTTTTATATCAGTGTGGTCAGAAAAGATACTAGATATGGTTTTCATTTATTTAAATTTATTAAGACCTGCTTTTTACCTAACATATGGTTTATCCTGAAGAATATTCCATGTGATGTTGAGAAATACGTGTATTCTGCAGCTGTTGGAATATTCTTTAATTGCTTGTTTAAATAAATCTACTTCATTTTGTCTATAGTGCAGTTTAAATTCAATGTTTGTTAATTTTTTGACTGAATGATCTGTCCGTTGCTGAAAGTGAGGTGCGGAACAGCCTTATTATTACTGTATTGCAGTCAGCCTCTCCCTTTAGGTTTATTAATATTTGTTCCATATATTTAGGTGCTCCAGTATTGGGTGCATATGTGTCTATAATTGTTATATCTTCTTGCTATGTTGACACTTTTTCATTATATAATGGCCTTTTTTGCCCTTTTGTTTTTTACTTAATCTCTACTTTATATAAGAATAGCTACTACTATTATTTTTTGTTTCCATTTTCATGGAGTAACTTTTTCCATCTCTTCACTCTCAGTCTGTGTGCCAACAGATGTGAGGTGAGTTTCTTGTAGATAGTATACATTATATATTAGGATTTAAAAAATACATCAGCCACTCTTTTAGCTGGATAATTTAAATTATTTATATTGATATGTCCGGCTTTACTACTGCCATCTTATTACTTGTTTCTGATTGTTAGATCCTTCTTTTTTTCTGTCTTTCCTAGTTGTTAAGTGATTTTTTTCTTCTGTTTGATCAATTCTGCTGTTAGAGCTTTCTAATAATTTTTTCAGATTAATTATTATATTCTTAATTTCTAGGATTTCTCTTTGTGTTTTCTCAAATTTTGTCTATATCTTTGTCAAGCCTGGAAATTCGGATTTTTTTCCAAATTTCATTTCGTTCTCTATCTGTACTTTTGTGTAATACCCTGAAATTCTTAAGAGGTTTATTCTGAATTCTCTGACCTTGCATAAATTTTTAGTGCTTCTGCGTTCTTTGCTAGAACTCCACTGGTTTATTTTGGTGGTGTCACATTTTCTTGAGTTTTTGCAGTCCTTGTGACTTTCTGTTGGTGCCTGTGCATTACAATCATCACTTCTTCTAGTTTTGCAGGTATTCTTTGGTGGTGGTAGGTTTTTTTTCTGCTTAGTGTTGGAACTTGAACTCTGGCCTGTGATTTCTTCCAATTTTGAGGAAGACTAATAGTGAACACCAGAACTAAAACACTTCACTGGAACTGACTTGTTATCCTGGTATGTTATTTCCAGTCTGGGGAATACTTACAGTGCTCACAGAAACCTAAATACTGCTTTGGAACTAAATCACTTCTTTCCTATTTTTTCCTAATCTGGGGAAGGCTTATAGTGTACACCAAAACTTAAACTTTGCCCCAGAGGAATATTGCTGTTCTGCCATTTTATTTTCCCCATTCTAGGGAAGACTTAAGTGGGCACTGAAGCTTAAGCCTGACCCTTTAATTGTTTCTGAGTCAGGAGTAACCTCCACAAGAGCACCTGGGCTTTGTGAAAAATACAACCAGGGATTCATACCTTGCTGTAGATTGTGTCTATGCAGCAATATGGCGCTGGTCAGTCTCTTCAATTTGGCATACCCAGTGATCTCAGCTTGCAGTAGCCATCAAGATCAATGTGCCAAAGGCTGCAGTTATTGCCCTGCTCTTTGTATGTAACTAATCCCAGATAGTCCAGCCCTCCTGGTACTCTCATTGGTTCCCATGAGATTGGACAAAAGTTGGCTTACCACAGAGATTCCCAGACCAATAGGAAAATAAAATGTCTATCTAAAATTTCCTCCTCTCACCTCAGAAACCACGAGTCTTAGAAAATTCTCTGTGAGTAGCATTATGCTGGCTTGGAGGAGGGGCCGTTATAGTCTGAAATTACTCATCATGTTTTTTTTTTCTAAATTCTTTGACCCAGGGAGTTTTTCTACTTCTCCTCTGAGTTCTGGTGAATTCATGGTTGTATCTTTTTATTTGAATAATTTCTTTTTATATTTTTTTGGGGGAGTCATGCCATGGAATCTTCTGTTCTGCCATCTTGCTGATGTTCCTCAGCCTTATCAGTTCTTCATTATCATGTTGATACATCTGAGATAGAAAATATTAGGAAAACAAAATTGCTGTCAGTAAAAAATAAAATGAAAAGACAAGTGTTATTATAAAATCTATTGTGTGAGATTTATAATTATTTCAGAATGTCAGAAAATTTTTCTCCAATCCCTAATATCTTTTTGTACCATTTTATTGAAAATAAATGTAAAGTAAGACTTAAGAATTATCTAAGAGTAAGAATTCTTTACACTTTATAGATGCGGTACATGAGATTGGAAAGACAATAACTGTATTTTCTGATACTGGCATTTATATTTATTCATGTATGCATTATCTGTTGTCTGATTATCTTCTAAGCTTACTAAAGAGAATTCTACTAAATACCTGTTTTCTCAAAATTATTAAATGCATTTCAAATCTTAACCCTACCTACTTAGGCTTTTCTGTATCTTTTTAATAATGAGCCTTCAAGTATTAAAGTTGGTCTTTGTCATTTGCAGAAAAAGAACAAAAGACATGTTGCATTTTTTTGTCTTTTCCAACTATTAATTTTAATTGCCTTCATAAAAGCATTAGTCAAAGAAGACAGCTTCAGTACTATAGACGTATTTTCTAAGCTTACCATTTGTGAGTGTACATCACACATGGAATCTTTAAGCTACTATTTTTATAGTTTAAGTAATTAACATATGGCAGCCTGCTTCACCAAGGGTGGTTTTTGAAGATAAAGCATCTGATTTGATTTTGATTCAAGTCTTAACTGAGTCTTATAAGGACTATCTTCCGAATCATAAACATTTTTTTAAATATAATATTTGTATTAGAAAAAATAAAAAGAATTATGTTCCCATTATAATAGAGAAAACATGAATATTAACCCATCCTAACATTCCATCTTATTAATTTGTAAACTATAAACATGAAGAGAATATATTTTGTCAAGCCATGTGAAAAAATTATTATTGAATCATTACAATGCTATTATTTATGTATATTACTATAATGCTATAGTTGATAATTTGTTTGACTAATATAGCTTAATAAATATAAAATATTTTTAATAATTTTTAAAATACTTTGGGATTTTCAAAAATTATTTGATGCAGGATTTGTCATAAAATAGCCAGAATTTCCTTATGTAGATAATTTGATTATAATCAGGGCACAATAATGGCTGTTATTAGAATATGGAATTTCAAAATATAGGGAAGGGTAAGGTTAAAACGAACTTTAGTAATAAAGAAAGGTTTTATGTCAGAGCTGATGTGCTGAATCTTGAAATGTAGGTAAAATTTACAATGGTAGAGATGAGAGAAGAAAGAAATCTAAACCTGAGAAGAGAGTGTCAGCATATGATACAGGCTAATTAAAAAGACGCTTCTCCATGAATCTAAGTGAATTAATAATGAATATTGCCAAAGTGATCTTTTATATCCACAATTGTTATAATTTTATCAAAGTGACAGTGATTAATAATGATGAATTATAGAGGCAATATTAATATTTCTGTTTAACTTGTAAGGTAATTTTCAGTGATAATTAAGGTTACACTAAGTAAACCAAAGTGAAATTATATTGATTTAACTAATACTAATGAATGATTCTTAATTTAGTCTTAAACACATTTGATTGAATGTCTATTGTGGACTAGATTCTAAATTAGACATGCAGGTGGGAATATGAGTAAGGCATATTCCTCAGGTTTAAACATACTAGATACTCTGTTAAGGAAGACACTAATATAAATGCATGCAGTATAACACAATGTAATGTTTTCAAAGGTAAATAAAGAGGCTGGTCTATGCAGACATGGCCAGAACCAGTTAATATGTATTAAAACATCACTGTAGTGATCAAAAATTATCACTTTTTGATAAGAGTTAAGAGATTTTATTTAACCAGACACTCATGGAGTACAGCATGAGGGTAGAAGAGATATTTTGATAATTTGGATAGGATAAAAGAGTAAGGATTTTATTCTTCCTTCCAATGAAATCTATACGAGAAATATTAGCATCACTATACCAAACTTTGAAAAGGGTAGTTGTTTTTTTGCAAGATTTTTGTTTTGGTTGATTTGAATGAATATGATTAGTGCCAAAACAGAGCTACTTCAGACGGTAATAAGCTGAATAGTCCTCCAGTATTTCTTCTCTATACTTCACCAAATTCCTATATACAATTGTACAGTTTGTATATGAGGAACAAATCAGGCTGAAGAAAGACATGGAAATCAAACAGTCTGGTTCAATATGAAAGAGATTTATTGGGGTTATAATTTACTACATCTAAATAGGAATGAAACTGGGGAAGCAGTTTTCTGCATTCTTAATTTTTTCCTTCAACTTTGTGTTGAAGTTCTGAGGAACATGTGCAGGATGCACAGGTTTGTTACATAGGTAAGTGTGTGCCATGGTGCTTTGCTGCACAGATCAACCCATCACCTGGGTATTAAGCCCAGTATCCATTAGCTATTCTTAATCCTCTTCCTCCACCCACCCCCTGCCCTTCAACAAGCCTCAGTTTTGTTGTTTTCCCCAGTGTGTCCATGTGTTCTCATGATTCAGCTCCCACTTATAAGTGAGAACATGTGGTGTTTGATTTACTGTTTCTACGTTAGTTTCCTGAGGATAATGGCTTCCAGCTCCATCCATGTCCCTGCAAAGGACACAGTCTCCTTCGTTTTTTATGGCCGCATAGTATTCCATGGTGTACATGTACCACATTTTTTTTTAATCCAGTGTATCATTGATGGGAATTTGGGTTAATCCTATGTCTTTGCTATTGTGAATAGTGCACAGTGCACATATGTGTGCATGTATCTTTATAATAGAATGATTTATATTCCTTTAGATATTGTAATAGTCCGTTCTCATGCTGCTACAAAGAACTGCCCCAGAAATTTATAAAGGAAAGAGGTTTAATTGACTCACAATTCAGCATGGCTGGGGAGGCCTCAGGAAACTTACAATCATGGCAGAAGGGGAAGCAACTGTGTCCTTCTTAATGTGGTGGCAGGAGAGAATAATGCCAAACAAAGAAGGGAAAGCCCCTTATAAAACCATCAGCTCTCATGATAACTGACTCACTATCAATATGAGAACAGCGTGAGGGTAACCACCCCCATGATTCAATTACCTCCCATTGGTTCCCTCCTACGACATGTAGAGATTATGAAAAGTATAATTCAAAATGAGATTTGGGTGGGGACACAGCAAAACTGTATCAGGTATATACCTAATAATGGGATTGCTGCATAAAATGGTATTTCTGCCTCTAGGTCTTTGAGGAATCGCCACACTGTCTTACACAATGGTTTAACTAATTTACACTATCACGAACAGTGTATAAGCATCTTTTTTCCCTTTTGACTTTTTTATTATTATTATTATTTTTTTTTGAGATGAAGTCTTGCTCTGTCCCCCAGGCTGGTGTGCAATGGTGCGATCTCGGCTCACTGCAAGCTCCCCTTCCTGGGTTCATGCCCTTCTCCTGCCTCAGCCTCCTGAGTATCTAGGACTACAGGCGCCTGCCAACATGCCTGGCTAATTTTTTGTATTTTTAGTAGAGATGGGTTTCACCATGTTAGCCAGGATGGTCTCGATCTCCTGACCTCGTGATCTGCCCATTTCGGCCTCCCAAAGCGCTGGGATTACAGGATTAAGCCAACGCGCCCAGCCGTCATTTTTTTAATAATACCCATTCTGACTGGTGCGAGATGGAATTACATTGTACTTTTGGTTTGCATTTTCTAATGATCTTTAATGTTGAGCCTTTATTCATATGATTGTTGGCTGCATGTGAGTTCATGTCATTTGACCACTTTTTAATCGGGTTGCTTGTTTTTTCTCATAAATTTGTTTAAGTTCCTTATAGATGCTGGATATTAGACCTTTGCCATATGTACAGTTTGCAAAACTTTTCTGCCATTCTATACGTTGTCTGTTTACTCTGTTAATTGTTTCTTTTGCTATGCAGATTCTCCTTAGTTTAATTAGATTCTGTTTGTCAATTTTTGCTTTTGTTGCAATTGCTTTGGCGCTTTCATCATGAAATCTTTGCCCATGCCTATGTCCTGAATGTTGTGGAAGTGCCATCAACATGTAATTTTCAGAGGACACATTGTTTTACACAACTCAGAATTAGACTTTAGCCTCACTAGGACCACTGAACGAATAACAGTAAATATTAATTTATTATACAACTAGTGGATGGTGTGAAAGTGAGTTTACTGGTACGTATCCACCTCAATATGTATGCCTACATGGTAGTTAATAATGAATCAGCTGAAAATCTGAAAATTCTCATTAACTATCTCCCAAACTAAATAATAAGACTTTTTAAAGTAAATATTATGTGTTAACTTCTCTAAGGTCCCTGTTTACATCTCAAAAATAGGTACATAATAGGTGACAAGATTATTTGTTGCTGTTGATTGAAAAAATTGAGAATGATTATTTAAAACTGTAAATATAAATTAAATCCTGATTAAGTTTAAAAATATGCCACTATAAAGCATTTCTTCCAAAAACACACTTCATAAATAAATGCTGTATAAAAAGAGAGATATTCTACATAAATTGAAAAAAAATTATTTATTTTCGTAAAGTAGTGGTGAAGGAAGGTTGTTTTGATTCCACACTTTAACATCTTAGTTTGAACTCAAAAAATTTGCCAAGTTTCTATCTCTAGAGCCTAATTTTTTTCACATTTAATTCCATGAAGTTTTATAGTTATCTATTTTATTCCATATAATAATAACTCTGGGGATAGAACTCTGCAGAAGGAATTATCTAACTTTATATTCATTGGTCAATAAACAAATTTAATTTCAGCATATATCGTTATGAGTTCTAAAATTACTAATATAATTTAGAATCTTCTTTATCCTGAATTATGAAACTTTGGTTAATGAGAGCCATGCTGTTACACAACCACACAAAATATGCAGGCAGAAACACAAGGACTTTGTGATCCTAAGCCACCATTTTGGATGAAGGGATTGTGTCTGTTTATATGTTTAGAGTTCCAGAGCCTATACAGTACCAGCACAAAATAGGGCATCAAGGAAGCTTTGTTAAATGTAACTAAACATCCAATACTCTTGCTCTTTAGTCCTACTCTGGGTACAAAAGTAGAAGATAGTTTACATTGTTACCTTATCACATTTTCATCTGAACAGTCTTCCTTAGAGCCAATGTTGTTCTTCTGTTTAAGAGATTATTGTCCAAGAGAATAGTGATTGAGATTCAGAGAAGAAAAATTTATATAGCCTTTTAAATTCTACTTCTAAGATTTTTTTTGAGCTGTGATTTGTTATCATTTTTTGAAATCATATTATCTGTCTTTCTTTGTCTCTTCACTGACGTATTTTTAGGGTAATTGTTTAGCCAATGAAAAGATAAAACTGAGATAAGTGTAGGTAAATTGTCCATTTGAGGAGTTGAGATGAAAATAGTGAATACAATAACAGTTTAATAATCAGAAAGGATTGAGAGTTGAAAAGTAAGTGAGACCGTGATCTCAAAGTTAGAAAGTAACAAATATGAGCAAGAAAATTAGGCGAAACATTACCCAATCCTAAATAAAAGGGAAGTCTCATTCCCTTATCTGCATAATAGTTAAGAACACAGATATAGAGATATTCATACTTGAGCTTTGATTTTAGCCCCGCTACTTTCTACTGGTGCATTCCTGGGCCGTGAAGACTTTCTAAATTTATTTTCTAATGTGGGGATAATATTTCAGTCTGAAATACTGCAAAAGTGATATTATTGTATCCATTTTAGAGGACACAGCTGTATCACAGCTTTTGGCAAATGATATATTGTTGTTACTTTTGATCACCCAAGTAAAAGTGTTTCAGGTTTCTTCATCATATTGTTATTATTATTATTATTTTTAACATCTAATTAGCAATCTTTTGGGAGATACTTTGGAACCATTCCATTCAAATATATTGCTTGTCATAACATTTTTACTCTTTATGCTTAGTATCCTCTGATGAGTATTGCCCAAACCAATCTACCATAGTTATTGAAATATAGTGATTGACTAACTCCAGTACTTTCTTCCCATTTTCAGTCAACATTTCACTCACTCCCTTTTAATTTACAGATTTGTGTATTTATTTATCATTATCTCAGTGGTATGAACACATGAATTTCCATTTTGTATTCAATAGGTTGTAATCCATTACTGATCTTACTGATTTTCATTTAAAAATTTTTCAATATTTGGTCAATAGATGCTCCTTAATGCTGGCTTCTCTGTCCTTTTCACATGCCTCTATCTTGTTCTTGGGCACTCTCTTACTTTTGGCAGAAGATATTCCAGGCTAATTTTGTATGTTCTCTATCTGCCTTCGAGCCACCCATTTTTTCAAACAGAAAAACAAAGCAACAAATTAAAAAACACAAAAATCAACAACAAAACAAACAAAAGGGAATACTGTATACATTAAACATTTTTGCAGACTAGAGAATTAATTTCATCCGACCAAGAGATAATTAGGGAAATTGCAGAAAAAATGAATATAGTGAACAGTTAATATATTTATTTTCAGATATGAGTAAAAATATGCAGAAATGTGAGTGGACGAATAGTGTGTAAACATTCCAGGTTCGAACAAAGTAGAAAGACTACAACGAAAAAACATGGGACCAGAAAAGATGGATAAAGGAGAAATAGAAAAAGATTATTGGATGTTTACAGATAACAGATAAAAGTCAGAGAATGTCATTTAAAAAGGCAAATTCAATAATAAATAGAAGAGAATAAGAAAAATCAGGCAATAGAGAAAGAATAAGTAAGAATATAAAGCTTCCTCAATACCAAAATAATTTTTAAAAAGCAAAAAGACTCCACAAAAGTAAGAGGCACAGAAAATTTAATAACTTGGCAATTATGTCTGTTTAAACATTTTCATTTCAGAATATTTAAAATACATTTAAAGCAATGGTCAAATAAAAAGTAATATTTGTATACTTTATGTCAATAAAAATGATTGCATCAACGTTAATAAACTAAAATCTCAACTCAAAATGCTAGCAGAAGAGTGAGAAATAAATTTCACAAGAAGCATTGTCATCCTTGACTTTTAAAAGTATTAATTTCTTCTCCTCTACTTAACTTTTTCTGGAATTACAGTCACTTGGATTGTGGAACTCTTTGGGTGATATACAAGGAATCATTGTTTGTCATTTTAAGTTCCAGGATATTTTTTTAAATGAATGCCTATATGAAACTTCTCTTATGCACAACTATATATCTCCTCCATGCACCTCTTGTCCCAATTTCTTCTACATGATCAGTTCTTTTATTTAAAATTATTTTATTTATTTAATTCCAGGACACATGTGCAGGATGTGCAGGTTTGTTCCATAGGTAAACATGTGCCATGATAATTTGCTGCACCTATCAACCTGTCACCTACGTATTAAGCCCAGCATGCATTAACTCTTTTCCCTAATGCTCTCTCTCCCTCCCTCTGGCTTTCACCCAGCAGGCTCCAGTGTGTGTTGTTCCCCTCTCTGTATCCATATGTTTTCATTGTTTAGCTCCCATTTATGAGCGAAAACATGTAGTATTTGGTTTTTTATTCCTCCATTAGTTTGCTGAGGATAATGGCTTCCAGTTTTATACATGTCCCTGCAAAGGACATGATCTCATTTTTTTTTATGGCTGCATAGTATTATTCCATGGAGGATATGTACCAAATTGTGAATAGTACTGCAGTGAACATATATGTGCATGTATCTTTATAATAGAATGATTTATATTCCTTTGGATATATACCCAGTAATTGGATTACTGGGTCAAATGGTATTTCTGGTTCTACATCTTTTACACATTACTGCACCATTTTCCACAATGGTTGAACTAATTTACATTCCCACCATCAGTGTGAAAGTGTTACTATTTCTCTGCAAGCCTCTCCAGCATCTGTTGTTTCCTGACTAAGCAGTCTTCTAGTTACATTGCATAGAAGCAGGAAGGCAGTGCCTTGCAATGCTTGCTTTCTGTCCCAAGATTTCTTTGATTTTGTGATGTGGTACAATCTGAGAACCCATTTCAGGACTAACTTAGACAAAATCTTAAAATGTATCAAAATGTTATCTTTAATCAATGATGTATGGGAACTAAGAGATAGTGCTTCTTTATTTAGTGCCCCTGGCAGACAATTCTGAGATGCATTTCATAAGGTTTTTTACAATTTTCCAGTAACTTTAGCACCTGTCATGCATAGCTATTGTCAACTTTTTATTGCATACATGCATTGGTTTTTCCTTATTTTCTTCTCTACTCCCTGTTTGCTCACTCCTACTCCACAATATCACTTCTCCAATAAATTAGCTTTGTGCAAACCTTTGTTTCAAGCTCTCAGTCTGAAAGGATCTGAGAAATAACAGGGATACCAAATGTAAATCTTAAATGTGGAACGTTATTAAGGAATTTGAATCTGGATCACTTATTGAGACAACAATGAAGCCCATATTGCTGGGAGGAAGTGGGGAGGTGAAAGTAGCTAGTCATTTAGTAGTTTCATATTCGCTAAGATAATCACATGTAGTGGATTGATAAAATACAAGTAAATCATTAATAGTTTTGTTTTGTTTTGAGACGGAGTCTCACTCTGTTGCCCAGGCTGGAGTACAGTGGCGCAATCTCAGCTCACTGCAGCCTCTGCCTCCCAGGTTCAAGCGATTCTCATGCTTCAGCCTCCCAAGTAGCTGGGACTTCAGGCACACACCACCACGCGTGGCTAATTTTTTGTATTTTTAGTAGAGACGGGCTTTCACCATGTTGGCCAGGCAGGTCTCCAACTCCTGACCTCAGGTGATCTATCGTCTTCGGCCTCTCAAAGTGCTGGGATTACAAGCTTGAGCCACTGCATCCGTCCAGATCATCAATTGTTAAATGATGTGATAGTTTTGTAATTTAAATGGTATGAGGGCAATGATAATTGTGGTTGGATGAATTTTGTTAACTACAAAATTCTAAGCAAACTATTATCTCAAGCCACTGTAAAAATTAGAATATTTTGATTTAAATATTTAATGTGATCCTCTATTGAAGTCACAGGCCTCAAAAGACTGCAAATTAGGAACAGTTTATTCTCATAAGGTAACAGAGTTTTAAACAAGCTGAAGATACAGGTTACTGATAGAAATAGAGTAGTATCCTAAGACTTAGGATGAAAGATTTTTAATTATTTCAGTCATTTGAAATTTATTGAGGCTTGTTTTATTCTGCAAAATACAGACTGCCTTGTCAATGTCTCATGAGTCTTTGAAAAGAATGCGTATTCTTCAGTTTTAGGTGTGGTTTCCTGTAAACATCAAGTAGATCAAGATGGTTAATAATATAGTTCCAATTCTCAGTCTCTTTCTAATACTTATTCAGTAAATTATTAAGATATGAGTTTTTAAATATCCAGTTATAATTGCAATTTCATCTCTTTATTTTTGACAGTTTTGATTGGTGTATATTTTTTATTGTGGTAAAAAATAACATAATTTCGGCCGGGCGTGGTGGCTCACGCCTGTAATCCCAGCACTTTGGGAGGCCAAGGCGGGTGGATCACGAGGTCAGGAGATCGAGACTATCCTGGCTAACACGGTGAAACCCCATCTCTACTAAACAAAATACAAAAATTAGCTGGGCGTGGTGGCGGGCACCTGTAGTCCCAGCTCCTCGGGAGGCTGAGGCAGGAGAATAGCGTGAACCCGGGAGGCGGAGCTTGCAGTGAGCGGAGATCACGCCACTGCACTCCAGCCTGGGTGACAGAGCAAGACTCCATCTCAAAAAAAAAAAAAAGCATGATATCAATATTTATAAATTTTAAGTGTATAGTACAGTATTGTTCATTATAAACAAAATGTTCCACAGCAGATCTCTGGACATTTTTACCTCACATGACTATAATTTTATACCTATTTCCTCCCCATAATCCCTGGCAAACACCATCCTACTTTCTTCTTTGATGAGTTTCACCACTTTAAGCACCTCATATAAGTGAAATCATGCAGTATATGTCCTTCTATGACTGGCTGGTTTCATTTAGCATTAATGTTATCAACCTTCATTCATGTTGTAGCGTATAATATTTTCTTTACTTTTATATGGCTAAATAATTCCCTGTGTGATTAAACCCCATTTCTTTTTTTCGTTGATTCCATGATTAACATTGAGGTTGTTTTTACCTCTTAAGGATTGTGAGTACATTTGCAATGAATATGAGAGTGCAAGTATATCTTCAAGATCCTGATTTTCATTTGAAAAAAATAAATACCCAGAAGTGGGATTCATGTATCATATGGTAGTTCTATTTTTAATATTTTTATTAACCTGCATACATTTTTTCTGTAGTGGCTGTACCATTTTGCATTTCCACTAGGAGTGCACAAGAGTCCAAATTTCTTCATATCCTTTCCAATACTTGTTATTTCTGTTTCTTTGTTTCTTTTTTGATAATAATCATTTCAATGGAGGTGAGATGATATTTCATTGTGATTTCAATTTTTATTTCCCTTATGATTGTTGATGTTGAGCATCTTTACGTATATCCCTGTTGGCAATTTGTGGGTCTACTTTGAGAAATATCTAATTATATTCTTTGCCCATTTTCCAATTAGTTTATTTGTTCTTCCTTTTGGTTCAAAAAGAAACCAAAAAATTTCAAAAAATTAGGGTAGTTGGAGTGTTTATATGTTTTGGATATTAACTCTTTATCAGCTGTATGGTTGCAAATATTTTCTTCCATTTCACTGTCTGAGTTTTCACTCTGTTGATCGTTTCTTTTGCTATACCAAAGCTTTTTAGCTTGATATATTCATTCTTCTTTATTATTGCTTTTGTTGTCTGTGTTTCAGTTTCATATCCATTAAATCATTGAAAAGATCAACATTAATAATTGATTCTCATATTTTACATTTTCAGATTTTATGTTTGAATATTAATTCATTTTCAGTTGATTCTCTTGCATTGTGAAAGATAAGGATCCAATTTCACTTTTTTGCATGTTAATATCCAATTATCCCAATATTATTCATTGAAGAAACTACACTTTTTCTATTGTGTATTTTTGGCACCCTCAGAAGCAAAAGATACAAATAAATGAAAAGACAACTTGTGCTCATGGATTGGAAAACATTATATTGTTCAAATGTTCATACTGCCCAAAGTAAGATACAGATTTAATGAAATCCCTACAAAACTCTGATGGAATTTATTACAGAAATAGAAAAAAAAATCTAAAGTTTTTATGGAGCAAAAATGGATCCCCCAAATACACAAAACAATCTTGATAAAGAATAAAGATTGAAGCTGCACACTTCCTGATTTCAAAACATATTACAAAACTGCAGTAATCAAAACACTATCATATGGGCATAAATACAGACATGTAGACAAATAAAACAGAGAATCCAGAAATAAAACTGTGAATATGGGAGCCTATTGAGAGACCTGGAGGGAGCCACACCTTTTTATACAATTGGTAATAGGCCTGCAACATGCAGACTCTCATACTAGAGCCACTCATACTTGCCAAAGTTCAGGAAACAATCCAGGACACCTAGGGACAAGAGAGAAGTCATGCCAACCAGTGCCTCTAGTAACAAGCCCACCAGCTTCACAGCCACTGCAGATTTCTCTAGATCCAACGGCTGATGCATTATCTGGATCCAACTCCTGTCACCACAAGGATTGTGAGGCAGTCCTTCAGCCCTGACAGGAGAAGGCCCTAAAGTGTTAAACCCAGTCTTTAAAGACTAAGATGTATTTGCTCCTTCAAATGCACAGACACTATCACAAAGGTTCACAGATAGCAAAAATCAGACAAACATGATACCACCAAAGGAAACTAATAAAACTCAAGTAATCATTCCCAATAATATGCAGATCTATGAATGTCTGAAAAAATTCAAAACAGACATCTTAAAGAAAATCAGTGAGATTCAAGAAAACACAGATGACTAAATAAAAAAAGAAAAACAATGTATTAACAAGATGAGAAGTTTAATAAGGTCAGAGAAACCATTAAAAAGGACCAAACAGAAATTATGGAGCTGAAGAATACAGTGATAGAACTGAAAAACTCATTGTAGACCTTCAACAGCAAATTTGATCATCCAAAACAAAAAGTTAGTGAACTCAAAGACAGGTCATTTGAAATCAAATAGTTAGAGGAATAAAAAGAAAACAAATGAAAAAGAATGAAGAAAACATGAGGGACCATTGGGACACCATCAAATGTACAAATACATGATTTATGGCACTCTCCAAGGATAAGAGTGAGAGAAAAAAAGAATAATGCTTATTGGCCAGGCGGAATGGCTCACACCTGTAATCCCAGCACTTTGGGAGGCCGAGGCAGGCAGATCAAGAGTTTGAGACCAGCCTGGCCAACATGTTAAAACCCCGTCTCTACTAAAAATACAAAAATTAGCCGGGTATGATGGCACATGCCTGTAGTCCCCGCCACTTGGGAGGCTGAGGCAAGAGAATTGCTTGAACACGGGAAGCGCAGCAGAGTTTGCAGTGAGCCGAGATTGCACCACTGCACTCCAGCCTGGGCAACCAAGCGAAACTCTAAAAACAAAACAAACAAACAAACAAACAAAAAATGCTTATTTGAGGACATAATGTCTGAAAGCTTCCCAAATCTTGGAAAAAATATTGACATCCAGAACCATGAAGCTCAAAAAACGTCCAAGCATGATAATTCCAAAGAATAATAGTCTGAAACACAATATAATGAAATTATCAAAAGTCAAATAGCGATAGCAAGATAATAGAGATTTGTGACGTATAAACTGTCTCATATAAGGCTATCAGCACACTCCTCAACAGAAACCTTGCAAGCCAGGAAAGAGCAGGATAATATATTCAGACTGCTAAGAAAAAAGTAATTGTCAAGCTAGAATACCATAACTGGCAAAGTGGTCCTTAGGATATGAAGAAAAAATAAAAACATTCCGATACAAACAAAGGCTGATGGAATTCATCACTAAAGACCAGCTTTACAAGAAATGCTTAAGGGAATTCTTCAAGTTAAAACAAAAGGTCACTAAGTACCAACATAAAAACATGACATTATAAAATAACTGGTAACAGTAAAATAGAGTCAAAATTCAGAATACTCTAATGCTGTAATTGTGGTGTATAAATTACTTTTAACTCTGGTATAAGACCTAAAAGTCAAAAGTATTTTTAAAAAATAGCTACAATCATTAGTTAATGATGTGCAATATAAAAAGACATGTCAAGTTCGACATCAGTAGCATAAAACAAAAAAGAGGAGAGAAGTAAAATTGTAGAGATTTTGCAATCTAGAATATTATAAAAATGCTTTATGTAAGCCCCATAGTAACTACTAATAAAAAGGCCAAGTACAAATACAAAAGATAAAGAGAAAAGGATCAAAGCATACCACTGCAAAAATTTAAAATATCATAAAGGAAGACAGCAATATTGAAAAAAAAGGAATAAATAAAATTCCAAGGAGTCAGTAAACAATTAACAAAATGGCAGTAGTACGGTATGATGTGTCAAAAATTTCTTTAAATATTAATGAAGTAATTTTCCAATCAAAAGACGCAAAGGTTAAATAAATTAAGACAAAACAAAACAAAAAGATTCAAAAATAGGCCGCCAACAAGAGATTTACATTACCCTTCATGAGAACACATATAAACTGAAAATGATAGAAAAAGTGATTCTATGCAAATGGAGCTAAAGAGAGAAGAGGTGAATATACTTGTATCAGACAAAATAGGCTTTAAGTAAAAAACTGTAAAAAGAGACAAAAGCAATCATTATATATTGATAAAGGAGTCAATTCATCAAGTTATGTAACATTTAAATATATATGCACCAAAAATTGGAGCACCTGAATATACAATGCAAATATTAATATATATGAAGAGTGAGATGGACTGCAACACAATAAAAGTAGGTAATTTCAATACACCACTTTCAAAACTGAACAGGTTATCCAGACATGAAATCAATTAGAAAATGTTAGATTCGAACTAAACTTTAGACAAAATGAACACAACAGATATATACAAACATTCCATCCAATAGCTGCAGAGTACACATTTTTCTCAGCTGCATACAAAACATTTTCCAGGATAGAAAAAATATTAGGAAACATAAGAAGCCTTAACGAATTTAAGAAATCTGAAATTACATAAAGTATCTGTCAAATCATTCCACCACAATGGGATGAAATTATAAATCAATACAAGAGGAAATTTGTAAAAGACGTCTATGGAATTTAAAGAACATTGTTCAGTACAACCAAGGAGTTTAAGAATAATGCAAAAGGAAAATTTAAAAATATCCTGAGACAATAAAAGAGAAATATAACATACCATGTCATATGGGATACAACAAAAGCTGTTCTAAGAGGAAAGTTTATAGCAATAAATGCCTACATTAAAAAGAAGAACTCAAATAAACTAAGTTCACCTCAAGGAATTAGAAAGAGAACAAACTAAACCCAAATTCAGTAGAAGAAAATAAATAATAAAGACCAGAAAAGAAATAGATTAAATAGAGACTACAAAAACAATTTTAAAACAATGTAGTTAAAAGTCATTTTTAATACAGAAAAATTAACACACATTTAGACTAAGGAAAAAGAGAAAGGTTCAAGTAAATAAAATTAAAAATGAAAAAGGAGATATTACAACTGGTAGTGTAGAAATACAAGGGAAGGATAATAAGATAATACTCTTAGCAATTATATACACCAAAAAGATTGGATAACCTAGAAAAACAGAAAATATTTTAGACACAAACAACCTACCAAGATTGAATCATGAAGAATGAGAAAATCTAACAGACCAATCATGATTAAAGAGACTGAATTGGTAATAAATGGTCTCCGAACAAGGAAAAATTCAGGACCTAATGGCTTTATTGCTGAATTCTAACAAATATTTAAAAAATTAGTATGAATTTTTATCAAAATCTTCCAAAAAATTAGAAGAGAGGAAATACTTTCATTCTATTAAATCAACATTACCTTGATATCAAAGCCAGACAAGGAGAATACAGGAAAAGAAAGTTACAGTCCTGGACAGTTTTTTATAAATACAGTCATATAATATATGATCATGTTTGATTGACTCTTTTACTTAATAAATATATTCCAGGTTCATGCTGTAAAAGTATCAATACTTCATTTTTTATAGTAAAATAATATTCAATTTTATGAGTATATATTGTTATTTATTCATTAATCGGGTGATGAACATTTACTTTTTTTTTCTCCACTTTTGGCTATAATAAATGATAAATAACATGCTGTGAATATAGATGTACTAGCTTTTATATAAATATTTAAAAATTTCTCTTGAACATATGCCTAAGAGTGGAATTGTGAGATCATATGACAACCCTATTTTTAAAATTGTGAGGAACTACCAGACAGATTTTCAATGTGGCTTCAACCACATTGGTTGAATATAAAATTGAGAAATTAAATATGAATGAGAAATTGATTTCAATTTTTCCACATCCTTAACACTTGTTATTGGTTTTTATTTTTATTGTAGCCATCCTAGTAGATGTATAATATACCATCTAATTGCTTGGTAGTTTTCTTGTGATATTTTTCTCAGGTTTGGATAGAAGGCTAATTCTGACCTTATGCAATGAGCTGGGAAGTAACACTGACCTCATGTAATGCATTCAGAAATATTTACATCCCTTAGTTTTTTGAATGGCTTGTGGTGTTAATTCTTCCTTAATGTCTGGAAGAATGCATAAGTGATCCTTCTTGGGCCTGAGCTTTTCTTTGTGGGAAATTTTTAAATTATCAATTCATTTTTTTAAAAAAACCTATTTAAGGCATGGACCTCAGGTTTTCTAGTTTTTCTTGGGTTTGGTTTGGTAGTTGTGCCAGTCTAGAATGTGTTTTATTACATCTAGCCTATTTAATGTGTTTCTGTACAGTCATTCGTAGTATTCACTTATATGGGATTCCATTATAGTCCATTGTAATAAAAAATTATTTTAAGTTAGTAGTTAATGAGATAGGAATAATACAGGGTCATCACAGAAGAATAAAAAATTTCAAGCAGCAGTTTCACAAGACTAAAGGCAATGCGGCTGATAAGACCTTAAAAAACAAATGTGTGGACCAAGCTGGCTAAGAACAAACATGGCTCCAGAGCAAACAAGGCACTGGATTTGACCTAGGTTTCACCAAGGACATTATTATGCACTCATTAACATACTAACTCACAGACCCACAAGCACCATGAAAGTCCTGAGAACACCCATATTTGATGTAAAATTGATGGCACCACAGTTTTGAGAAATCTCCACCTTTTTCAAGGAAGTTTCATGAATACTCCACCCCTTAAAGAAACCTATACAAGTAGAAATCATAAACCCCATTGCACGTCTTTCTTGAGTTGGCCCCCAATCCCCTTTCTTGTGTGTGTATTCTTCCCTTTGCAATAAATCTTTGCACTTTCACTATTTTCTGACTCATCCTTGAATTTCTTCTCATCTTGGTGTCAAGGGCATGGACACTGGCTAAGTTGATGTCCCACCAACATTTGGGAATGTCTCCCAGCCCACTGGTATCAGTTATGTCCCAATTCCATTGCTAGTAATCTGCTACATCTCCCTGTTTTTACTTAGTGTAGGTAAATACTTGCAAATTTTTTTATTGCTTTGATGAACCAACACTTACTGTCGTATATTTCTCTATTTATTCTATTCTCCAATCCTTTAATTTAAGCTCTAATAATATAATTTCCTTCATTTCGGTGAATTCTATGTCATTAATTCTTCCTTTTCCACTGTTACAACCTGTACAATTAGGTCATTGATTTGTAAACTTTCTTCTTTTGCAGTCTTTTACGATATATCTTGCCCTCTAAGCACTGCTTTAGGTGCAACCATATTTTTTAATTTTCAAAGTGATTTTAATTTTTTCTTGTTATTTACTCTTAAATCCTGTATTAGTCCACTCTCACACTCCTAATAAAGACATAACTGCAACTGGGTAATTTATAAAGGAAAGAGGTTTAATTGACTCACACAGTTCAGCATGGCTGAGGAGGCCTCAGGAAACTTGCAATCATGGCAGAAGGGGAAGCAAATATGTCCTTCTTCACATTGTGGCAGAAGAGAGAATGAGTGCCCAGTGAAGGGGAAAGCCCTTTATAAAACCATCAGATCTACTGAGAACTAACTCACTACCACTGGAACAGGAAGGGTGAAATCGCCTACATGATTTAATTATCTCTACCTGGTCCTTTCCATGACACATGAGGATTATGGAAACTACAATTCAAGATGAGATATGGGTGAGGACACAGCCAAACTATATTATTCCACCACTAGCCCCTCCCAAATCTCATGTCCTCACTTTCCAAAACACAATCATGCCCTTCCAACAGTGCCCCAAATTCTTAACTCATTCCAGCATTAACTCAAAAATCCAAGTCCAAAGTCTCATCTGAGACAAGGCAAGTCCCTTCCCCCTACAAGTCTGTAAAATCAAAAGTAAGTTAGTTACTTCCTGGATGCAATGGAGGTACAGGCATTAGGTAAATATACCTATTCCAAATGGGATAAATTGGCCAAAACCAAGAGGCTACAGGCCCCATGCAAGTCCAAAATCCAATAGGGTAGTCATAAATATTAAAAGTCCAAAATTATCTCCTTTGACTCCATGTCTCACATCCAAGTGATGCTGATGCAAGAGGTGGGCTCCCACATTCTTGGGCAGCTCTGCCCCTGTGGTTTTGCAGGGTAGAGCCCCCGCTCCCAGCTGTTTTCATGGGCTGACATTCAGTGCCTGTGGCTTTTCCAGGTGCATAGTGCAAGGTGTCAGTGGATCTACCATTATGGGGTCTGGAGTATAGTGGCCCTCTTCTCACAGCTCCACTAGGCAGTACTCCAGTGGGGACTCTGAGTGGGGGCTCTGACCCTACATTTCTCTTTCATATTACCTTAGCAGAGGTTCTCCATGAGGGCTCTGCCCTGCAACAAACTTCTGCCTGGGCAACCACATGTTTCCATACATCCTCTGAAATCTAGGCAGAAGTTCACAAACCTCAGTTCTTGTCTCCTGTGCACCCACAGGCTCAACACCATGTGGAAGGTGCAGGGTTTGGGGCTTGCACCCTCTGAAGCCACAGCCCAAGTTGTATGGTCCCTTTTAGCCATGGCTACAGCAGCTGGGATGCAGGGTACCAAATCTGTAAGCTGCACACAGCAGGGGGACCCCAGACCCAGCCCACAAAATCATTTTTTCCTCCTAGGCCTCTGAACCCGTGATGGGAGCAAAGGTCTCTGACATGCCCTGGAGACATTTTCCCCATTGTCTTGGTGATTTGGCTCCTAGTACTTATGCAAATTTCTGCAGCTGGCTTGAATTTCTCCCCAGAAATTTTTTTTTGTTTCTACCGCATCATATGGCTGCAAATTTTCCAAACTTTTATGCTCTGTCACCTCTTGAATGCTTTGCTGCTTAGAAATGTCTTCTTCCAGATACCCCAAATCATCTCTCTTGAGTTTAAAGTTCCACAGATCTCTATGGCAGGGCAAAATGCCGCCAGTCTCTTTGCTAACACATAACAACAATTTGCTCCAGTTCCCAAGAAGTGCTTCATCTTCATCTGAGACCACTTCAGCCTGGACTTTATTGTCCATATTACTATCAGCATTTTGGTCAAATACATTCAACAAGTCTCTAGGAAATTCCAACCTTTCCCACATTTTCCTCTTTTCTGAGCCCTCCAAACTGCTCCATCCTCTGCCTGTTACCCGGTTCCAAAGCCACTTCCATATTTTTGGTTATCTTTGAAGCAGCACTCCACTACCTGGTATCAATTTACTGTATTAATCCATTCTCACACTGCGAATAAAGACATACCCGAGACTGGGTAATTTATAAAGGAGAGAGGTTTAATTAACTCACAGATTAGCATGGCTAGGGAGGCCTCAGGAAACTTACAATCATGGCAGAGGAAGAAGCAAGCACATCCTTTTTCACCTGGTGGCAGGGGAGCGAATGAATACCCAGTGAAGGGGAACCCTCTCATAAAAACCATCAGATCTTCTGAGAACTAACCCACTATCATGAGAACAGGATGGGGAAAACGGCCCCTGTGATTCAATTATCTCCACCTGGTAACTCCCACAACCTGTGGGGATTACTGGAACTACAATTCAGGATGAGATTTGGCTGGGGACACAGCCAAACCATACCAAATCCCTTGATTATTTAGGATTTTATTGTTTTATTTCTACACATTTGTGATTCCTAAATGTCTTTGTATTCTGGATTCCCAATTTAATTATACTGTGGTTTGAGGGTACATACTTTGATTTTATGATTTAAACTTATTGAGGCTTTTTTATTGTCTATCCTTTCAATGCTCCATTTGTACTTCAGAATAATTCATATTCAGCTGCTATTGGGTGGGTTGTCTATAGATATCTGTTAGAACTACTTGGTGCATAGTATTTTCAAGTCTTTCCTTTCCTTGTTGATGGTCTGCACAATTGTATCCATTATGGAAAATTAGTTATTTGCATCTCTGATTATCATTGTGGAATTATCTATTTATTTGCATATGTTTATAATTGTTATATCTTCCTTATGAATTACCCTATCAGTATTATAAAATGTTTCTTTTTATCTCTAGTAATTTTTTTATTTAGACTTTTTTGCATGTTGATAAAACCATTCCAGCTTTCTTATAGTTGCTCTTTGCAATAAGTATGGTTTTTTAAATGATTTCACTGATTTCTCCATTGATTCTGGGGACAGTCATTCTGAATAACAATAGTTTTAGCGGAACTCCCTTTGAATGTTTTTTCTCTGACTTCTCTATTAAGTTGGTTCCCTTTATTGCTGTCACCCAGCTGTTAGGATCTATAAATGTTTGCTGATTGATATATAGTCCTTGTGATCTGGGGGATTAAAGTAGACATCTCTTTATCAACTCAGATGGAGTCTTAGGTTAAGGAAACCAAGATACTTATGGGTTGAGAGATAAGTCTGGCTGGCATGGCAGATTTTTAAATTTCTATGGCTAAAATCCCTAACAAATGGAGCGATCAGGCTAATTTACAACCCAGGCAACTGCAAATCTGACTGGACAGAGGACCTATTTTACAGCCGTTTTTTTTGTTTGTTTGTTTGTTTGGATAAGCTATTTGCACACCTTAAACCAGTTTCAGCCAGGTTTTAGAAGCTGTACATACACCATTTTTGTGTCCTTTTCTTCCCAAACCTGCCGAATATATATGATACTAGCCCTGTGAGGTATTAAACCCAATCTGTCCTTACTTTCTTCAAAGAAAGAGCATCTTTGGCGCATGCTGGAGACTTCCTCTTCTCAGCTTGCACACTAGTATAGCCAATAAAGCTCTCCTTTCTACAATATAGCCATACTGGTGGTCTTTTGGGTGACATTTTCATGAATTCCCTTGGGCATGAAGTTCTCCAAAGTCTGATTTAATTACATTTGGTCCCCTTTATTAAGGCAATATTTGAGGCCAGTCTTCTTGATTTGCTCTGACCTTAGGAAGACTCTTCTTACCTACATCTTTCCTTGGTTCTCTCAATAAATTTGCTTGTATATTGCTTAGCTTATTGCTCTCATGGATCTGCCAGCCTCTTTTTAATTGTTTACTTCCAAAATCTTTTTTACTGAGTGCACCCTTAGGCTTGAACTTTTCCCACTGTTTCAAATAATGTCAGTTACCTTGGGGAAATCTTTGGAGCTCTCAATTCTGATGGTCTGCCTCTACGTCTGGATAAAACCTCTGAGTCACTGCTCCAGAGCTGTGTGCAGGAATAATGACCTATTTCTATTGGAGTAGCATCTCTACTTTATGAGAATAGTGCTTTGCGTGGGCAATATTTTCTGCTCTTCTTGGCTTGTCTCTCTTAATGTGGAACTTTATCCTTATGAGCAAGTTGGAGTGACAGTAATCAGGTTCCTGGTATTCTTGACCTGCCATACCTGGATGTTAGATAGAAGAAGTGAGTCCCTGTGTTTTGGCTATACTTACTTGGATTTAATTTCTGCAACATAATCACTAGCCTGTCTCATTTCCTGCTTTCACCCACCAAGAAATTCTGTGTTGCAGAAGTTAAATTCCAGGGAAGTACACTATAAATTTTACTACCCAATAAGCTAGGGATATTACCCTTTTATCTTCATTCATTATGGTGCTAGAGGAAAGCAATATTAACATTTAGTTTTGTCTTAGTCACAAGGTGATTATATTTATATATATATATATATAAAATGTTCTACTCAGGTGAATACTAGGAAACCAATCTTAATATTATCGCTAGAATTATAAATCAAATAGTCTGATTAACTTTTTAGCTGCCAAAATACCTGACACTTGTTGCCTAGAAGGCCATGAACTCCAAATATTTACATTATTAGTGTCCCCATTTCCAATAACAATCTGTGTCTCATTATTCCATATTCTTTTTGTCAATAAATGTTCAATATATACATTCATACAATTATCTAACATAGAACCATCGGTCTAATGATTCTTGACTCTTCCTACTCAATTATCTCCAAAATCTTATTGGCACCAATTTTTCTGATTATAAATCCTTGTAATTTATATATAATTCTGATGAAAAATACCTGGTCACTAGTGATAAAAATTCTCACTGAGCTATTTTCAAGACAAATGAGATACTACATCCTTTGTAAATAGAATAAAAATAACCAAAAATGTATTAGATAGGGTAATACTTTTAAGAATGATAACCTGTACTGGGACAAAAACATTGTCAGTTAAAATTCCAATTTGTCATTAGAAGTTCATAGATATGACTATTTTTGGTGAAAATTGGTATTAATACTTATAAATATCTTTTATTCTACTTAACATCTTACTTCTGTATAAATAGCACAGAGGAATATTATTATATTAACATTTAAACCTTTTATCAGGATTCTAAGAATTTCCTAGTTTTTAATTTGTGATGAAAGGCAGAAAGCAACATTGTGAATGGGCTGATCAGATATAGGAGATTTTCAATGTCTAAATTCTTATTATAATTTTTTAAATATATGCTATTTGGTGACACAGATTCATCATTTGTTTACTTGCAAAAAGTTGAACATTATTAAAATAGAAATGCTTATTTATGCAAATACTAGCAAACATGATGTAGGCATATAATAGGTATTTTGAATAAATGAATACTAATGCACATTTTGAATAAATACTAATTCAAGATCTATTACTTGCTACAGTGTACTCAGAAACGTGCATTTTCTTCTTATGACTATGATGCATATCTCAATAATTCATGCTGAAATAAATTAGATTTTTAATTTTATTACATCACCAATAGTGTAAAAATAGTTGAAAGTCTGAAAACTTGAAAATAAAGGCAATGGCAGTATAAATGGTGATCTCATTATCACAAGTCAGTAAAAGGTGCTTTGATTTTTACTTAAGTAAGCAGCAGTAAATCTCACACTTAGTGCATTAAAATTTTTTGTCTTTAATAATGACCTAGAATAATTTCTCTTTATCAAACTGCCTTCCAAATCAGAACCATGCATGAATCAGTTAGTCTAGCTTTGAGCCAGCATTTCAATAATTTAGTTTCGTTATATTGTCATTAAGCCAAGAGATTAGATCATAGACTGTTTTTTTATCTACAAAATTATGAGAATCCAGGGTACTGTTTAGTTTTTATCAAATAGTCTGCTGTTAGGGTGAAAGAGGTTAATATGCTAAATATCACAGATATCATTAATATCAATGGAATGCAGAAAATATACCTCACAGTAAGATGTGAAACCTGTTGCAACTGCTAATATTATTTCCAAATTGCATTAATCACATAAATATGTTGTGTATAAATAATTTTATCTATAGTCTGAGTCTGTTCTCAGATTGATGTGTTTAAGGCAGTAGACCTTTTAGCAGTTCAAGTGGTTAAAAACAATATTTAATATTATACATTTTCAAACTGTGGTGTGATATGGTTTGGCTTGGCCTCACCCAAAATCTCAACTTGAATTGTATCTCCCAGAATTCCCACATGTTGTGGGAGGGACCCAGTGGGAGGTAATTGAACCATGGGGGCGTGTCTTTCCTGTGCTATTCTTTTTTTTTTTTTTATTATTATACTTTAAGTTTTAGGGTACCTGTGCACATTGTGCAGGTTAGTTACATATGTATACATGTGCCATGCTGGTGCGCTGCACCCACTAAATCGTCATCTAGCATTAGGTATATCTCCCAAAGCTATCCCTCCTCGCCCCCCCACCCCACCACAGTCCCCAGAGTGTGATATTCCCCTTCCTGTGTCCATGTGATCTCATTGTTCAATTCCCACCTATGAGTGAGAATATGCGGTGTTTGGTTTTTTGTTCTTGCGATAGTTTACTGAGAATGATGATTTCCAATTTCATCCATGTCCCTACAAAGGACATGAACTCATCATTTTTTATGGCTTCATAGTATTCCGTGGTGTATATGTGCCACATTTTCTTAATCCAGTCTATCATTGTTGGACATTTGGGTTGGTTCCAAGTCTTTGCTATTGTGAATAATGCCACAATAAACATACGTGTGCATGTGTCTTTATAGCAGCATGATTTATAGTCCTTTGGGTATATACCCAGTAATGGGATGGCTGGGTCAAATGGTATTTCTTGGTCTAGATCCCCGAGGAATCGCCACACTGACTTGCACAATGGTTGAACTAGTTTACAGTCCCACCAACAGTGTAAAAGTGTTCCTATTTCTCCACATCCTCTCCAGCACCTGTTGTTTCCTGACTTTTTAATGATTGCCATTCTAACTGGTGTGAGATGGTATCTCATTGTGGTTTTGATTTGCATTTCTCTGATGGCCAGTGATGGTGAGCATTTTTTCATGTGTTTTTTGGCTGCATAAATATCTTCTTTTGAGAAGTGTCTGTTCATATCCTTCGCCCACTTTTTGATGGGGTTGTTTGTTTTTTTCTTGTAAATTTGAGTTCATTGTAGATTCTGAATATTAGCCCTTTGTCAGATGAGTAGGTTGTGAAAATTTTCTCCCATTTTGTAGGTTGCCTGTTCACTCTGATGGTAGTTTCTTTTGCTGTGCAGAAGCTCTTTAGTTTAATTAGATCCCATTTGTCAATTTTGGCTTTCGTTGCCATTGCTTTTGGTGTTTTAGACATGAAGTCCTTGCCCATGCCTATGTCCTGAATGGTAATCCCTGGTTTTCTTCTAGGGTTTTTATGGTTTTAGGTCTAACGTTTAAGTCTTTAATCCATCTTGAATTGATTTTTGTATAAGGTGTAAGGAAGGGATCCAGTTTCAGCTTTCTACATATGGCTAGGCAGTTTTCCCAGCACCATTTATTAAATAGGGAATCCTTTCCCCATTGCTTGTTTTTCTCAGGTTTGTCAAAGATCAGATAGTTGTAGATATGCGGAGTTATTTCTGAGGGCTCTGTTCTGTTCCATTGATGTATATCTCTGTTTTGGTACCAGTACCATGCTGTTTTGGTTACTGTAGCCTTGTAGTATAGTTTGAAGTCAGGTAGTGTGATGCCTCCAGCTTTGTTCTTTTGGCTTAGGATTGACTTGGCAATGCGGGCTCTTTTTTGGTTCCATATGAACTTTAAAGTAGATAGACCGCTAGCAAGACTAATAAAGAAAAGAAGAGAGAAGAATCAAATAGACGCAATAAAAAATGATAAAGGGGATATCACCACCGATCCCACAGAAATACAAACTACCATCAGAGAATACTATAAACACCTCTACACAAATAAACTGGAAAATCTAGAAGAAATGGATAAATTCCTCGACACATACACTCTCCCAAGACTAAACCAGGAAGAAGTTGAATCTCTGAATAGACCAATAACAGGATCTGAAATTGTGGCAATAATCAATAGCTTACCAAACAAAAAGAGTCCAGGACCAGATGGATTCACAGCCGAATTCTACCAGAGGTACAAGGAGGAACTGGTACCATTCCTTCTGAAACTATTCCAATCAATAGAAAAAGAGGGAATCCTCCCTAACTCATTTTATGAGGCCAGCATCATCCTGATACCAAAGCCGGGCAGAGACACAACCAAAAAGGAGAATTTTAGACCAATATCCTTGTTGAACATTGATGCAAAAATCCTCAATAAAATACTGGCAGAACGAATCCAGCAACATATCAAAAAGCTTATCCACCATGATCAAGTGGGCTTCATCCCTGGGATGCAAGGCTGGTTCAATATACGCAAATCAATAAATGTAATCCAGCATATAAACAGAACCAAAGACAAAAACCACATGATTATCTCAATAGATGCAGAAAAAGCCTTTGACAAAATTCAACAACCCTTCATGCTAAAAACTCTCAATAAATTAGGTATTGATGGGACGTATTTCAAAATAATAAGATCTATCTATGACAAACCCACAGCCAATATCATACTGAATGGGCAAAAACTGGAAGCATTCCCTTTGAAAACTGGCACAAGACAGGGATGCCCTCTCTCACCACTCCTATTCAACATAGTGTTGGAAGTTCTGGCCAGGGCAATTAGGCAGGAGAAGGAAATAAAATGTATTCAGTTAGGAAAAGAGGAAGTCAAATTGTCCCTGTTTGCAGACGACATGATTGTATATCTAGAAAACCCCATTGTCTCAGCCCAAAATCTCCTTAAGCTGATAAGCAACTTCAGCAAAGTCTCAGGATACAAAATCAATGTACCAAAATCACAAGCATTCTTATACACCAACAACAGACAAACAGAGAGCCAAATCATGAGTGAACTCCCCTTCACAATTGCTTCAAAGAGAATAAAATACCTAGGAATCCAACTTACAAGGGATGTGAAGGACCTCTTCAAGGAGAACTACAAACCACTGCTCAATGAAATAAAAGAGGATACAAACAAATGGGAGAACATTCCATGCTCATGGGTAGGAAGAATCAATATCATGAAAATGGCCATACTGCCCAAGGTAATTTACAGATTCAATGCCATCCCCATCAAGCTACCAATGCCTTTCTTCACAGAACTGGAAAAAACTACTTTCCTGTGCTATTCTTGTGATAGTAAGTCTCACGAGATCTGATGGGTTTATGAGGGGTTTCTGCTTTTGCTTCTTCCTCATTTTCTCTTGCCGTGCCATGTAAGGAGTGCCTTTCCCCACTGTGCCCACCATGATTCTGAGGCCTCCCCAGCCATGTGGAACTGTAAATCCAATTAAATCTCTTTTTGTTCCTAGTTTCAGATGTGTCTTTATCAGCAGTGTGAAAACAGGCTAATACATGGTGTTGCCAAAATATATTTTATATTTAGACAATTCACTTTTGTTAATGAAATGAGTCCTTTAATATTCTATGTGATATAGTGTGTTGCTGTGCACTTATTTTAAAATAAATAATTTTCTCACATCACTCTTCTAAAATTATCAGTGTCACCAGTATTCCACATGTTGCTAAATGCAATTGTCAAATCTCAATTATAAATTTATTTATCAGAGCTTTCAATGGTTAACTATGCTCTTTTTGTTTTCCTTCTCCCTTGTTCCTTTGCTGCTCTCTGCTCTTTTCTTTTTTTTTCTTTTTTTAATTTGGGAGTGCTTGTATGACTCAGTCTTTTCCTTTTCCTCTTGAGTATCTCCTTTAGTGTTATTACTTCACATATCCTCTATACATTAATCACTCTGTGTATGTATGTGTGTGTATATATATATTTTCAGAGAACTCTTTGATAATAACTAGGGAATTTAGAATCTTGTATCAAACTCTCGGTGAATTAATACAACCAAAGTTTATTATTTACTCGTGCCAAGTCTGCTGCCAGTCTGAGTGATTGATGAGGTCAGCTTTCATCCATGAATAGGTTTACAACCTCAGATGGTTTCATTATCAAGTGATCTACACAATATCCATGATCCCATAATTCTCATGAGGGCCCTGGGGAATTGAACCAAGCCAGTTAAACACTCCTATCCTCAAGTGAAAGAATCCCTGCTCACATTTAATTGGCCAAAGCAGATCACATAGTGGGGAAGTGTAATCTTTCTGTGTTCCCAGAACTATGAAACTAAATATTGATGAATACATGAACAGCCTATCAAAAATGTCTCTGTCACAGTTTTTTAAGGTTTTAATGTATTTTATGTGTAAAGTGCTTAGAACATGCCCAGCACAAATTAGACATGTGTCAGGAATTATAATTTTGGACAGACAATTATACTGTTAGCTGATGTGGTGAGGAAATAATTAGGATAAAGTTTTAGATAGTAAGTCAGTAATACAGAATAAAGAGCTTATAGTAAAGAAAATAAACAGGTGGGTTAAACATCTATAAGGAAAGATCACCTAGGACTGACTTCTGGAAAAGAGGGCATGTCTGAAATAGTAAACATAGAAGAAAGGAAATTATTTTATTCTAAAATTCAAAGAAAGAGATTAGGCCCAAATCATAACAGAATAGATAGTTTCTGACAAGCCAGGTACTGTTGTAACTAAATCCACTCAAATTAGATATTTTGGAGCAATATATTGTCTTCTGCAGATATAACTTATAAGATAAAGGGGAAGAACAGCAAATGTAACTTCTAGTTTTCTCAAGTCTCATTATTGAGAAGTAATTATGCAGTAATTAGAAAAGAAAGAAACAGAGACAGAGACAGAAAATACTGGCTTTATGAAACAAAAAAGTTCTACTTGCCTCTTCATCTTCTATTCCATAGATGGATGAGATGTATTACTCAAAGTTATAACTAAAAAAAAAGTTTCCTGGTAAATATATAAAACTAATTTTCAAGGGAGGTGGATAATAAACTATGGTACAAAATTATAAATATTAACAGGAAAACAATTGAGATAAAATGGCATAAGATCGTTGGATATATACATAAAGAAATATCCTGCATCTACTGTCTTAAGCTGCATTTGTATGGACAAAATGAGGTGTTGTCCTTAGAGAGCAAAATGTTCAAATCCACACATATAATCAAGACATCCTTGGAGGCAGTGGTAGTTTTAACTTTGAGACTGTTCAGAAAAGAGAAATACATGGCAAAATAGAGAGTTTATATTGTTGAGAGAACTAAATGTGAAAAAAATTGGCAGTAAAATAGATAGTTTCTATGTGAGGTGCTCATAATTTCCCTATGAAAAATAACAAGCCACGAATACTGCCACTATAGCATTTATTTTATATGTTGGTAGAACAAACCAAACAGAATTGAAATAATCCCTTGAGAAGAGTAATGATCCTCAGTTAAAGGAGGCATAAAAACATTTTCAAAATTGAGTAGGAATAGAAAAGCTACTGCGAATTGACTGATGATTATCACTTTCTTAATACAAAAATGTTCAAACTGCTTTTTTAAGGGGTATAATAAAATATTTCATGATCTTTTAAACATTGTGAGAAAACTTTAATTTAGCTAAAAGTAACAATCTTTACTTTGACCTCAGATATTTGGAAGTTATGGTTTAGCCCAAATATCTGAAGAGGAATATGTGAAATGACTCCAAGCATATCAAAGGTCATTTTCACAAAAGGATTAAAGTATTTTTCTTTATCTACCCTAAAATCTAAAAGCAACGAAAGTCAGAGTAAAGAGCAAACTTTTTTTCTCAAAAAGTAACTGAGGCTAGGCGCGGTGGTTCATGCCTGTAATCCCAGCACTTTGGGAGGCTAAGGCGGTGCATCAGGAGGTCAGGAGATTGAGACCATCCTGGCCAACATGGTGAAACCCCGTCTCTACTAAAAATACAAAAAATTAGCTGGCGTGGTGGCGTGTGCCTGTAGTCTCAGATACTCGCGAGGCTGAGGCAGGGGAATCAACTTGAACCCAGGAGGCGGAGGTTGCAGTGAGCCGAGATCGCGCCACTGCACTCCAGCCTGGCGACAGAGCAAGACTCAGTCTCAAAAAAAAAAAAAAAAAAAAAAAAAAAAACTGAAAGTTTTTTCACCTTTAAACATCCCTCTTCCTTGAATGAGTTGGGGGACATTTGCCTTGCTGGAGTGGTTGCAGTGTATATATCTGAATGGTAAATTTGGGTTATACATGTTTTGATATTTTTCTGCTAGCACTGCCCCTCGTGCTTTCCTCCCCACAACTCCTCCTGCTCCCATTCTTCATCTTCATTTTCCTTCTGCTATTCCTCTTTCTCCTTCTTATTCTTTTTATCTTTGTTCTTCTCTTCTTCCTTCTCCTTTTTTTTTCATCCCCCGCACTTTTCGTTTCCTAAAGTAATTCCATCCATTGGATCAGGTCTTATCAGCCTGATATATTCATATTAAAAGTCCCCATTAATCATTTACCTGACAGTTTTAGCTTGCATTTATAACTATTGCATCAGTCTATTATTTCATGAGAGCTTAAATAATAATAATATCAAAAAATTTTAGATTCAGTTCATCTCTATATAAAACAAGTTTTCTGGGTGAATTATTTGGTTAACCTGAAATACAGGTTACCAGGGAAAGTAGTATAAATGTTTAAATCTTTTCTTGTATTTACCAATTTTCAAGATAATTGGTGTCCTAACAAAGTGCATGGCATATTATAGGTTTTCTTTAAATATCATTGTGAACTTATGGATCTCTAGATATTTCATGTCTTTTAATATACTGTGTATGTTACTGTTTTTTGATGGTCAAGCTATTCTGCTCATTAATTCAAAAGCCATTAAATTCCATATGAGCATTTGTTTCTGATTATTTTCTTTATTGTCTTTTTATTTGCAATAGATATCTAGATATCTACTGGCCTTATGGTTTTCTTAATTTTTTGAATTTTGACGTCACTAGAGATTTACATGCAGTTGAAAGAAATTTAAAACATAAAGAGATCCTATATACTTTTTAGCCTGTTTCCCCCAATGGTAACATATGACATACCTATATAATTCTATATCACAATAAAAATTGACATTGATGTAATTCATTTACCTTTTTTTGTGTGTCCTTTTCACAAAACTCCAGCAATCTTTGCTTCCTTTGCCTTTTGGCCCAACAATATAATCAGGGATGGTTTGGTACTCTCTGTGCATCATCCTGAAATTAGTTACATTGCTAAAGAGTTCAAATTCTTGTCAGTGGAAAAATGGTATTAATGACCATAATCTAAACACTAGGGTCTCCACTGATACGAGGTTGTCATCGTTTCTCATCCATTTTTGTGTTCAGAGCCTCCCAACATGCATTATTTTACTATGAAAAATAAATGAGTTCATATTAATAGTTTCTCAAACAAAAGATTACAGGTGTGGGATTTATTTTGTTGTAGTTGCTTAACATTTTTTACCTTTTATTTGTATTTTCTTTTTTACTGATAATTTGGGTTGTGTTGACATTCACATGCCATATTTTCCATATATTTGATGGGTATCATCCTCTGTTGTCTCTCCTTATTCACATTTCACCGTTTTCCATTCTGCTCTTTTCTTTAGGAGGCAAACCCAAAGAGCTTGCTCTATTGCTTTTATTTGGGTTTAGCAAATGGTAGCAACTGGAAAGAGCCTGGTGAATTGAGGGATTATGTAATAGAAATATTATTCCTTTGGTTCTTTGTTCCTAACTCATATGAGGCAAACTTTATCATCAAGATATTTTCTTGGGTTGTCAGCAACTGTGTCCTGATTCTGCCTTTCAGGTATTGGAGTAAAGGAGTTTTGCTGTTAATCCCAGGTACTGCAGTAATCTTTGTGGAGTGACCTCAGCCTACCCACAGGTTTTTAAATTGCCCTGTGTTTAAAAACTTCTGAAATCCCTTAGCTTATGTGTGACATCTACTTTCTGCTGAAACTATCATTGATACAACAGAGCAGCCTAAAAATTGAAATCAATGAATATTTATTTAGATTTTACTGAATTCTGTCATTTGTTCTAGGTTATTAAAATTTTACAGACATAAAAAATGGCCCCTGTTCTCAAGATATAAACAAGTTGATGAAACTGACAAATAAATACATAATTCTATGTAAAATAACAAGTCTATTATAGAACTATGGAAGATCTGCTTTGAGAGCACAAAATAAAACTGCATAATCCATCATAAGTTAAGAGGTCAGGCTGGGCGTGATGGCTCACGCCTATAGTCCCAGCACTTTGGGAGGACAAGGTAGGTGGATCACTTGAGGTCAGGAGTTCAAGACCAGCCTGGCCAACATGATGAAACCCCATCTCTACTAAAAATACAAAAATTAACAGGGCTTGGTGGTGCGCACCTGTAATCCCAGCGACTCAGGAGGCTGAGGCAGGAGAATCGCTTGAACCCGGGAGGTGGAGGTTGCAGTGAGCCGAGATCGCACCACTGCACTCCAGCCTGGGCAATAGAATAAGACTCCACCTCAAAAAAAAAAAAATTAAGAGGTCTTCCTAGTGAATAAGCTCCTGAGCTATACTTATTAAGAATTCTTTTATATATACAAAAACTGCTCCGAAGAAAGATTATAACTTATTTATTTTCATAATATATACAAACTTCACTGTACATAGTAGGTTCAATACATACACTTTGGATGATTAATTGAATATGTAAGCATAAGTAACAAAACATCCAAATAGAAAATAGTTGTGTGTGTGATTTTTTTAATTTAACTGAATAAAAGCTCGTTTTTACATATGATTTTTGATAAATTTTACTGCCTTACAATTATTTCATTATCAGTGCATGCAACTTAATAATTTCATATGTCCTTACAGTTTTTTCTAAATCATATTTGAATGATTATGAATAAATATTTGTAAGATCAGTAATGCCTATTCAAATACTCGTTAAATTTTATTTAGGGACGATGGAAGGAGGAATTTAAAAACCTCAGGGTTTCAGGAGACTGATCTTAAAAACAGCTAAGATCAATAAAACAATCAATATTTGGACTGTAGATGAAGCATTTTCCCTGCAATGGTCACAAGTCTACAGTTAAATACCTCTAGATACTGAGATCTTATTTTCTTTCAAGGTTGCCCAATCCATTTTCTTTTAAGATTGATATTTCAGAAAACGTGTAGAGTCTGCAAATAGAGCCAACCATAATCATAAGAAATAAGGAATAGATTTTTCTAAATTATACAATTCTGATGTGTGGTCATTATAATTGCATTTCAGATAAACTACTAATATACTATGTCAGATCATTTCTTTCAATGTAGTTCTCTCAAGTAATTAAGTGTTCATTTTCTGATTTTTTTCTTGCCAAAATATTAGAAACTTCATGGTATTATGTTTTACATGAAGCTGAGAGCTATTTTATGTCATAGTTTTATATCTTATTATAAACCTATGGTGCATCTTGCTTAAAATATAGTTATAAAATATTAGAAAATAAGATTGTTTTTGTATGACCATATTAAAACTTTTAAGCATGATTGTTGCACAGTTAATGATAAAAAAATTATTTAACTCAATTACTAACAGAGAAAATATCACTAATAACATGGAGTAACATCCTTTGGCCCCATACTTGCCTCCATTCTTTATTTACAGACGTTAAATTATCATCTAAAAAGTGACATAAGCAAGATAGCAAAATAAAAATTTCCCAGCTTCACTTTCCCACACAGAAATTAAACTTGCAATTATCCACATGCAAGAATATCACCCTTAATATCCCAGTACTAGGGAGTGAGCCTAAGATGCCTACTTGGACCACAAAAACAAGATAAATGTGATCAAATAGTAAGAGAATGGTTGTCTGTTACCTTGCTGGCCATACTCCAAGCCAGCGCAGTGACGTGCGCACAAAAATATCCTAGACCCACAATTTGTACAAAGGAAAATGTGAATTAGAGGTGGACACTCAGCTTCCTCACCATTCTGGGACACCTTGAAGGAAGCTCACTCCTGTCACATCCCAATGAACAGTACTGTACCCAGGAAATCTCTCCTTCAGAAATAAACAGATATTAATTTTTCCAAGCAAATACTTAGCGAGTTTATCTGAAGTTGTTCAAGTTGATAAAAAGGATGCCAATGAGTACCATGGAAACAGCTGAAAGTATCAAATTCACTGGTAAAAGTAAGTACATAGTCAAATTCAGAATAATACAGATAACAGTGGCACAGAAGTCATTTATATCTTTAGTATGAAGCTTAAAAGACAGAACTGGCCAGACACCATGGCTCAAGCCTGTAATCCCAGCACTTTGGGAGGCCAAGGCGGGCAAATCAGGAGGTCAGGAGATCGAGACCATCCTGGCCAACACAGTGAGACTCCGTCTCTACTAAAAATACAAAAATCAGCTGGGCATGGTGGCGCATGCCTGTATTCCCAGCTACTTGGGAGGCTGAGGCAGGAGAATCGCTTGAACCCGGGAGGCGGAGGTTGCAGTGAGCCGAGATCACGCCACTGCACTCCAGGCTGGCAACAGAGCGAGACTCTGTCTCAACAACAACAACAAAAAAGAACTATTAAAATAATATTTTATTTATATAATAATTTCATAATCTGTTAAATGTTATGTAACATCAAATGTCAACAGATGTAAATTGTGACATTGGAAATTCAAAATGTGGGTGGGGAGTGGAGATAAAGTGTAGATTTTTTGCCTGTTTTGTTTTTGTTTTTTAATTTGCAATCGAAGTTGTTATTAGCTTTAAATAACCCGTTATAAGATGTATTTTGTAAGCTTCATGCAAACAACAAAGCGAAAACTTAAAAAATATACACTACAAATTAAAAGCAAGGAATTAAAATATACTACTACAGAAAATTACTTGGCTAAAATGAAGACAGGAAGAGAGAAAGAAAGGAAGAAATTACCTACAATACAACATGGAAACCAATTTAAAAAAATGGCGGTAGTAGGTCCTTACCTATCAATAATTACCTTGAGCCTAAATGGATTGAATTATAAAATTTAAAAACATAGAATAGTTGAATGGATAAAAAGGTAAGAATCAACTAAGTTATGCTTACAAGAGACTCACTTAATCTGTAAGCACACACATAGAACTGAAAGTATGGGGTGAAAAAAGATATTTCATGCAGTAGAAGCCAAAAGAGAGTAAGAGTAGCTATAGTTTTAACATAAAATAGACTGTAAATCAAAAACTGTAAAAAGAGACAAAGAACATCATAATATAATGATAAAACGGTCAATTCAGCAAGAGGACATAAGAATTGCAAATATATATACACTCAACATTGGAGCACCTAAATCTATAAAGAAAATATTAATAGATCTAAAGGGAGAGATAATGATAGTACAATAACAGTAAAGGATTTTAACGCTTCATTTTCAGCTGTGGACAAATCATCCATACAGAAAATTTAAAAAGAAGCATTGGATTTAAATTGCACTCTAGAGCAAATGGTCCTAACATAAAATAACGGAATATTTCATCCCACAGTAGTAAAATATACATTTTTATTAACTGCACATGGAATTTTTTCCAGGATGGATCATATGTTGGGATACAAAACAAGTCTTAACATTTTTAAGATAATTGAAATCCTATACAGAATATTTTCTGACCATAATGGTATAAAAGTAAAAAGCCATAACAGAAAGAATTTCTGAAACTTCGGAAAGTTGGACAACTCTTTCAGATTTAGTCATTGATATATTTTTCAAGGCAATACTAGTTTACTTTCAGAGCAGTGGAGCCATTTTCTTCTCCGGAAAAAAAATTTCAGAGGTACTTGAAGGGTTAAGTGTTGTCAGCCACATGATCTATGTTCCTGGGACAATAATGATTGGAAACCTAATTCTAAATCTCAGCAAACCTTTTCAGAAAGTAACATATCAACAAGGGGAGCAGAAAAAAAAAAAAAACAGCCATAACGAGGAGAAGACCTACAAAGTTTTATCTACACATATAGAGAAATAAATATCTCATGATAGTTATTAAAAAGTAATCCTGAAAGGATGGTGGTCTTTAGTATGGGGTTGGGGGTATGACCAAGGTATGATGACATGGCAGGGAATACATATTCTGGACCCCAAGTTACTCTGATTTTACAGTTTCTTATCTATGCTGCCAAATGACCGAGAGTAAAGAAGCATTTTGATGCAGTTATTACAGGATAGCTAATTCAGGAACAGGGCAAGGTGAAGAAAGAAGGAGATTGTATCTGGGGAGGCAAAAGAAAGATATTAAACCTGCATAGCTACATGGAAACTTAAGTTACTGTGACACATATTTCTATGTGTTAATGCTATAGTCTAAATATTGCTCTAAAACTTCTGTTGACATTTAAGTGCCTTTGTAAAAGTATTAGGTAGTAAGACTTTTAAGAGGTGATAAGACCGTGAGAGCCCCACTCTCATGGGTGCAACTGATGCATTATAAAAGGGTGAGATCAGCCTCCTTACTCTCTCTAGTCTACTTGCCTTCTGCCATGTGATGTCACAGCAAGATGTCAACATCTTAATATTAAACTCCCCAACTTCCAAAACAGTGAGTTACTAAATTTCTGTTCATCATATATTACCAACTGTCAGATATTCTGTTATAGCTATAAAAAAATACACTAAACCAACTAACTAAAATCTAGTTTGTTTTTCTTAAAAATACAGGTAAACGCCATGTTTCAGGCTTATTACAGTAGTCTGAATCATCATATATTGACAGATTGAAAAGATAAAAATGGAGGAGAGTAAATTAAATTTAAATTTGAAATAAACAACACTTCTTTTAGTAAAAGTATACTTCCTCAAATATTTGCTATATAATCATATAAAAATTACAATCATTGTTTATCTGAAATTCAAATATATTTGGATGTCCTTTTTTATCTAACAATGCCAAATCAGTGAAATGAATGGAAATATTAGACTGGTTTGCTGGTAGGTTGGTTCATTATAAAATAATTAAATTAATAACAGTAATAATAATGATGATAACAGCAACCTGGATTTGTAGAGTTTGCCAATCTCTGTTGCTTAAATAGTCTCCCATGGCCAGTTTCAAACTACCAACATAAACTGAATATACAGGTAGAAAAAGACAAGCACAGTAAACCATTGTAAACTAACTTTAGCACAACAGTGACTATACATCTTTTTTTTTTTTTTTTTTTTTTTTTTTTAGACGGAGTCTTGCTCTCTCTCCCAGGATGGTGTGCAATGGCACAGTCTTGGCTCATTGTAACCTCTACATCCTGGGTTCAAGCGATTTTCCTGCCTCAGCCTCCTGAGTAGCTGGGGGGCACACCACCACGCCCAACTAATTTTTGTATTTTTTAGTAGAGATGGGGTTTCACCATTTTGGCCAGGCTGGTCTTGAACTCCTCACCTCAGGTGATCCACCAGCTTCAGCCTCCCAAAGTGCTGGGATTACAGGCCTGAGCCACCACTTCCGGTCAACCGTCATTTTTAGTCCTCTTACTTTAAAAAAAAAAAAAAAAGATCTCACACAATCCTCCATTTTCTGTGCTTCTTATAAATAGTAGGATTTAGTTACATGTCTGCCATCTATAAGAAGCAAAGAAAATGGATGTAGTTACATGTCTGCCATCTAGAAGAGCCATGAGGAGAGGATGTCCAAACATCCATAAAAAAAGCGCCGAAGCCCTACGTCATTTTTTAGAGGTGAACTATGAGATCAGGTACACTTACATTGAAATGTGTTTTGTGAGTAGAAATGAACTTTAATTCTGTGAAGCCACAGATAGTTTGGGATTTATCCATTAAAACATCTAGAATTTATTTTATCTTGTAAGCCAGTTTTGTTATGTGGATCATAACACAGGAAACATTAGGGACCAAAATAAAAATTTCACTATTTTAGTCATCATTTAAAATATTTATTATATATTTATTAAATTAGAAACATTTTATTAGATATGGGGAATACAACAATGATTTCTGTAGATAGTTTAGAAAGCTTAGAGAAAGTTTAGACAGTTTAGAAGCCAAAAAAAAAAAACAAATCCAACATAATATAGACTAATAGGAAAGGGCACTGTTTTAGAATCATACTGAGCAATTGAATGGCAGGATACTTAATGTTTTGTGTCTTTCTGCTTACTGTTAAACATACCTGGAATGCCATCTCCCTTTTCTGTTTCTTAAATTGCTGCTCATTATTCAAGACCTACCTCAAATGTTATCTCTCTGTGCTTTCCAAATATTGCTTCCTTTATACTTTATATTTTGAGCAAACTTCACCTATAGCTCTCTTGTAATTATATTTTCCATATTTATACTTATCACTGAATGTTGTATTCATTTAAATCTAGAACCCAGACATATATACTTTTATTTTCTCCTCCATTCCCAACAAAATGCTTCTGCACATAGTATTTAAGAGCTTCTGTTTTGTATGAAATGGTTTATTCCAGAAATCCAGCTATGTAGCCGTAGTTGTCTTCATAATTATTATTAGAAAGCCAGGTATGTTTTATAAATAATGGTCCCTGTGACTGGCTATGATGTATTATAATTTCTGAGATGCGTTTTCATGTTTGTTCTTCGTGTCAGTACTTGTCTACATGCATGGCTGAAGAAATAACCCATGTTTATATTGAATATACTCATGTGGAAGCTATACATTTCCCTTTGGATTATACTTAAGAATAAAGACTGCTTCTTATTTTGATTCCTCCCAAGATCTAGTACAGTGCCTTCTGCATTTATAATACTAAATAGGATTTCAAACAACCTTTTCCTCATCTATCTGTGCAATGCTATGCTAGCATAATCAATAGTGAAAAGTAACACAATAACCCATGAGAATTGTCCATCAATGCTAGTCACATTTTGCCATGCCTGGCAGAATTTGCTTTTCTCCCTTGCTTTGTAACAATATCTTCCCCATGTTTCTGATGGTACACAGCTTTGATTGCTACTTTCTAGACTGTTCCATCTGCTACTCTGTGATCTCCCAGCAGACAAGCCACTATACTGTGCCACTTTAATTTTTGCTTTAGTGCCCTTTAATGGCTTCTCTGTCTTACCAGCCAGGCTTTAGCTCACCATAAAGCACCTGCTAGGGAATTCTGTGGCCAGCCTGGTGATTGTGGTATGCTTTCAGAAATAAAGTAAAAATGTTTGTGGAATTGAGGTCAAAAACCTCCTTCATTTTTCTTGGCAGTTAATTGACTATGTTTTTCAGAGTAGGAATTTGAGTTATAGCATGCTTTTCTTCACAGGGTCAGAGTTAGAAATCAACGGTTTCTGACACTGACTTTTCTAGATTCATTAAAAGGCCACAACACATGTGCACAGGCTTTTAGGGTCATAGCCCTGTTAATGGCAGGTGTTTATTCTGTCAAATTAGAATACAGCTACACCATAACCTTATCATTGGCTACAGGTGCCAAGTTCATACTACAATTGACACACTCTTCTTACAGAGCTTCTGCAGAGATCCTAGCCTTAGCTAATTAAAGAAGTTGCCCTATGCCAGTCTTTAAAGTTGATTTAGTTTTGCATATAATGCCACCTATACATGGCTGAACATTAAATTAAGAAATAATTATTTCTTCTCTTGATAGCATAGAGTGAACTCATAACTGATGGAATCAAATACAAGTATTCAGGCAGAATAAATTGAATATTCATCTAGTATGTAAATTTTCCCTCCAAAGAAAGCACATTTTCATGACTCATGATTGTCAGGATTATTGTCTCTTTGATATATAATGATAACCCAAGTATTTATGTTTTCAAAATTCCTTAAAATAATTATCATTTTTTAAAAAATTTATGCAGAATCTAATTAGTTGCCTTATATCTAATCCACATGCTTTCTGGAGGGCAAAAAGGGGGTTAAAATGTCATCTTTAGGCAGGTCTTCCTAACATGAAACTAAATGATTCTTAGATATTTCTCAGGTCTGGACTTTTATTTTTAATTCTATAAAAATCCTACTAACACTATCTTTCTATAATTTTGATTAAAGATAAACATATTCCACATGATATTTTCCCCCTTATTGCCTACTTATTTTTTCTCATTAAGAAGGCCTGTAATTCTTTCTGTACCTTGCTTAAGCATTAGTGATATGGTGAAAACTGTCCCTCAAGAGTTTTGCTTTACTACTGCTTACCACTAAGGAAGCTAGTGTTTCTCAAGCCTCTGTTCACTTTATGCTAGGAAGTGGTAAGATGCAGGTGCATGCTAACAGCAAGGATGTTAATCTTCCAAAATAAGTAATTTTCTAACATTAGTTTTCATCTTTATACTTTTTCTTCAAGTAATTCCATGTAAAGTATAAAAATAAATAAACAGATAAAAGACAAGCAAGACCGTATTGGTCTGTTTAAGGGCAATAAAGGTACAGAAACCTAAAAACTTAGTCCTCTCCTAGTATTTCTATATAAGTCAATCATCTTTTCTTAGTGTGTCGTAAAGCACAGAATGAAAACCACAGATGGGTGAGATTAGATAGTTCTATCAGACTACCTCTTTTTGGGGAGATTGTGGTTTGTATATATACATAAACACATACATATACACAAATATATCTGTGTATATGTGTAGATATATGTAATGTTATATAGACACATACACACATGGATGCACACGTGCATGCATGTTAGAGAATTATTAAGTATCATTAATAAAATGTAGCCATTCTAGATCCTGATTTTAAAGGTTATTCATTTTGTGAGAGAGAAATAAACGATTTCAAAGCAAATTGTAGGACTTTTAAAAACATGGCTTCAGAGAAAAATCCATACGTAGGGAGCAATAATCATTGTAGGTAGGCAAAATACTGTCACTTTTGATTATAAAGCTCATTAGTTTTATCAGTGTAAATATGAATATGAAAGTAGTTAGATATTATGTGATGAAAGGTTTTATATTGACTATTTTCAAAACTTCACATTCTAATGTGGATTTATAATTCCATTCTACTCACAATTTCTTTACATCTCTATTTTTTATAATTTGTTTTTATTTGTGTTTTCTGCAGAATAACTATCTTTCCATGTATTATGCCTCAAAATTAAGGCTTCACTCAAGAAAAATTGCTATGCTGTATTCATTTGAACATCAATGTCTTATCGTATTTCTGCAAATAACAGATGTACTGTTCGCTACATGTGATATACTAGGCATTTCAAAACAATTTGCAGTAAGATGGTGGCATAATACAAGTGTTTATGCAGTGCTTACAATGTGATAGGAGCAGAACATAGAATTTTCTCTAATCCTCAAAATAAGTAGCTTTTTGCCAAAATTATAGGCAATTAAATAATCTTAGAGGAGTAAGTGATTAGCCAATAGATGCATGACTAATATAATGTAGCCCAGGTTTAACTCCTAAGTTACCTACTAAATCTTACAATTACACACCATTTTGGGGCATTTCCCAGTTGCTATTAATCTCAATAAGATTATATAAAATGACATGCACATATATGTATATATGTGTGTGTACATATATATGTATGCATATACACATATAATATTCAAATTACAATAAGCTTTTGTTCAGTAACCCAGAGGCTATGGTTAACAGTGAAGAATTAATGCAATGTACACATCAGGATTTTTTTTTTTTTTATGGTTCGCTATTTCATTGGCTATGGGGAAGAAGGGAAGGTGCATAATGGAAAAATTTTGTATAGTCTGGCAGAAGCCTAATTTTTGTTGAGGTCAACTTTTGTTTTTGCCACTTTCATTTGGAAAACTCTATAAATGGCCTAAGTGGTAGATACTCAGAATTCAGTTTTTGTCATTTAGGATTTCTTAGGGACTCTGGGCAAAGGAGGTGGTAATCTTCAGATTCACATTATATCTCCATCCTGAATAATGCCAGTTGATGTCATCTTATCACTGACTTGTCTCATCATCTCTCTTTGGATAACCTTCAAGTGTGCTGAATTTCAAGATTCTAGCGCAGTTCTTCCCAGAATGTGGTCTCCCAACCGACAGCAATAGCAGCAGTAGTTTGGAACTTGTTATAAAATTATATCATTAGGCCTCACTCATGAACTACTGACTTAGAAGCTCAGATGGGGCCCAGCAATCTACATTTGAACAAGCCTTTCAGGTAGAGATGATGCATGTCAAAGTTTGAAAACCAGACCTCTAATCTGAAAAGCAGAGATCCCTTCTTGTCATGACTGCTACTGCTATAGCTTGTCTATACAGCTGTTGAAGTGCTAATTCCCCTGCTTCTTAGTGGAAAAACCACCAAAAGGAAGGGTGCAGTCCTGCTTCTTAGCTAAAAAAGAGATCGTGAAGGCATCAAGATGCTGAAGCCCATTCTGTCTTCTCTCCTGCTTTCACAGTAAGACTAATAAGAATGGTAGCTCCCGGCGGGGTGCGGTTGCTCACGCCTGTAATCCTAGCACTTTGGAAGGCCCAGGCGGGCGGATCACGTGATCAGGAGATCGAGACTATCCTGGCTAACACAGTGAAACCTAGTCTCTACTAAAAATACAAAAAATATTAGCCGGGTGTGGTGGCACGCGCTTGTAGTCCCAGCTGTCGGGAGGCTGAGGCAAGGAGAATCGCTTGAACCCGGGAGGCAGAGGTTGCAGTGAGCCAAGATCGCGCCACTGCACTCCAGCTGGGCGACAGAGCAAGACTCCATTTCAAAAAAAAAAAAAAATGGTAGCTCCTATCTCTTGAGTATCTCCTTTGCGTCTGACATTTTTCAGCTCATTAAATCTTCACAGCAACCAAATACAGATTACCTGCTAGCGAGCGTCTCTTTGGGCTTTAGTTGCAGAGGTTTGAGATTATTGCATTCCTTAGATCACCACGCAGTGCTATCACTGTCGTAGCAAGGTTTCACTCTTTTTTTAAACTTCCTTTTATCTATAATCTCCCCCCAAACTCCATCTCCCCATAATGGGCAAACATCTTTATCTGTTATTTGTTTCATGTTATAATATTTGCATGTTCTTTTTAAAATGGGAATATTTTATTAATATAGTTTTAGATATATTTTTCTAAATAGTTTAATTGAGATAAAATTCACATACCATACAAATCATCCACATGAAGACACAATTCAATGGCTTTTAGTATATTTGGAGAGTAGTGCATCAGTTATCACAATCAGTTTTAGAAGAGTTTCATTACAAAAAACAAAAACAGAAGCAAAAAAAGTACACTTAACCTTAGGCATCACCCCACAACCCCTGTGATGATTAATATTAAGTGTCAACTTGATTGGATTGAAGGATGCAAAGTATTGTTTCTGGGTTGTCTGTGAGGGTGTTGCCAGAGATTAGCATTTGAGTAAGCAGACGGCATATCCTAGGACTTCATCTTGTGATCATGAGTCAATTCTCAATAAACTACCTTTTATATATACCTATATCCTATTATTTCTGTCCCTCTGGAGAACTTGATTAATACAACCCCTATCCCACAGCTCTAGACAACCACTAATCTACTTTCTCTTTCTGTAGATTTGCCTACCATGGATAATTCATATGTACTCTTTTGTGTCTGATGTAGTTCGTTTAGCATGTTTTCAAGGTTTTCCATGGCGTAGCACATAACAATTCAATTCTTTATATTGCTGAATCATATACCATTGCATGGGTATACCATATTGTATTCATTAGTTGATCAACATTTGGGTTAATTACAAATTTTAGCTAGTATAAATGCAGCTATGGACATTCATGTATATGTTTTTATGTGGATTTAAAAAAAAAATATTTCTTCTGGGTACATAATCCAACCATGTCATAACTGTTCGTTTTATTCCATAATAATTTTTTAAACATTTTTTAGCCAGTCTAGCTAAAGATGTATCTACTTTGCAAACCTTAAATAAACTGGTTTCCTTGACTTTATTGTTTTTCTATTTTTTACCTTATTAATTTCAACATGAATTCATATTATACCTTTCCTTCTGCTTGGTTTGGGGTTAGTTTCCTCTTCTTTTTAAGGTGGAAGTTCTTGTGTTCTTTTAAATTTAGACGTTTAAGGGTGTGCATTTTCCCTTAAGCACTGTTTTAGCAGCATCTTCTGTGTTTTACATTGTATTCATCTTCAATAAGTCGGAGTATTTTCTAATTCAACTTGTCTTCTTTGACCAATTTGTTATCTAGTGGTCTTATTTATGAATTTCCCAAATTTCTTTTATTACTTTTAAATTTCACTCAAAGTGTACAATTGGTATGATTTCAATAATTTTAAATTTATTGAGGCTTGTTTATTGACTTAGCAAATGGCCTGTGCTAAATCCAGATAATGTTTCTTGTGTTTCTCTATTTTGAGACAGGATCTTGCTCTGTCACCCAAGCCGGAGTGCAATGGTGGGATCTGAGCTCACTGCAAATCCACTTCCTATGGTTAAGCAATCCTCCTACCTCAGCCCCCAGTTTTAGAATAGTTTCATTACAAAAAACAGAAACAGAAGGGAAAAAAGTACACTTAACCTTAGGCATCACCCCACAACCCCTGTGATGGTTAATATTGTCAACTTGATTGGATTGATGGATGCTAAGTATTGTTTCTGGGTTGTCTGTGAGGGCAGGCACCTCCACACCCAAACTTTGTTTTGTATTTTTAGTAGAGACAGAGTCTTGCCATGTTGCCCAGGCTAGTCTTGTACTCCTGAGCTCAAGCAATCTGACTGCCTTGGCCTCCCAAATGCTGAGATTACAGTCATGAGCCACTTCATCTGGCCTTCTTGTGTTTTTCATGTGTATTCTTTTTGATTGAGTGTTCTATAGGTTTTCTTAGATCTAATTTGTGTAAGTGTTATGTATGTTTTAATTCCCTTGTTGATCTTTTAATGAGTTCTTCTATCCATTACTTAATGACAGATACTGAAGTCTCCAGATACTATTGTTGAATTATCTATTTCTGCCCTTAATTGCATCTGCCTTTGCTTGGCATCTTTTGGGACTCAGGTGTTTGATGTAAGTTTATCAATGTTATAACTTCCCAATAAGTTGACCCTATTGTGAAATTATATACCCTTTTGAATTTCCATTTACATTTTTCTTTATAAAATCAAATTGGCTGATATTAATATAGACACTGCAAATTTCTAATGGTTATTTGCATGATATATATATTTCCCTATTTTTACTTCTGCTGTATAATATTTGTACTTCCGAATCTAAAATGTGTCTCTTTAGGCGACATATAATTACATCTTGATTTTTAGCTAGTGTGACAATCTCTGCCTTAATTAGATTATGTATTTCATTCACAATTTTTTATTAATAATCTAATTGAATTTAAGCACGCTATAATACTTTTTGTTTTCTAAATGCCTCATATCTTCTTTGTTCTATTCTTCATTTATTGATTTTTTTTGTACTAAGTAAATATTTTTTATTGCAATGTTTTAATTCCATTAAAGGTCTTTTTTTCTTTTTAGCTAAAGGTTTTGTGTTATTTTCTTAGTGGTTTGGCTAGGCTTACAATATACATCTTAAATTATCAGAAGGTACTTCACGTGACAAATAAATTACTTACATATAGCTGTATTCTCTCATCCCCTTTACTTTTTTCCCTTTCTGACTATAGTTATGCATATATTTCCTGTATGTATATAATATTATTGGCCCAAAAAACAGTTATAATGATTATATAATTTTATTTATTTATTTATTGAGACAGAGTCTCTCTCTGTTGCCCAGGCTGGAGTGCAGTGGTGCAATCTCATCTCACTGCAGCCTCTGCCTCCTGAGTTCAAGTGATTCTCCTGCCTCAGCCTCCCGAGTAGCTGGGATTACAGTGCGCGCCACCATGCCCAGCTAATTTTTGTATTTTTGCCCGGCTAATTTTTGTATTTTTAGTAGAGACGAGGTTTCTGCACATTGTCCAGGCTGGTCTTGGTCTCGAACTCCTGACCTCAGGTGAACCGCCTTCCTTGGCCTCCCAAAGTGCTGGGATTACAGGTGTGAGCCACCATGCCCAGCCAATGATTATATAATTTTATGTCTATTGAAAAAGGAGAGAAACACAAGTATGTATTTATAAAATTTGCTATATTTATCTTACTGTTTTTCACTTCTGCTACTTTTCACATGTTCCCTTGGGTTAGAGTTAACAATCAGTGTCATTTTCTTACTCTAATACAACTGTGTTAACATCCATTTCTTTGTGCTGTTATTGTCGAATATATTACATTTATATATGGTATAAACTGCAACACAATTATATACATATAGATTTATACAATTATTTTATATGATTGCTTTTGAGTCAGGTAAGAGAAGCTAAAATACGCATTTGTACTGTCTTTTATCATTATGCAATGAATTTTACTGTGTCTTCCTCTTTCTGTCTCCATATACTATATTTTAGTGGATAATATAGTTTGGATCTGTGTCCCCACCAAATCTCATGTTGAAACGTAATCCCCAGTGTTGGAGGTGGGGTCTGGTGAGAGGTATTTAGATCATGGGGGTGGATTTCTCATGAATGGTTTAGCACCAAATCCTTGGTGTTATCCTCCCAATAGTGGATGAGTTCTCATGAGATGTGGCTGTTTAAAAGTGTGTGGCACCCCACCTCCACCCCCACCACACCTCAACCTCCTGCCACTCCCTTGCTTCTGCTTTCACCAAGTGAAGTGCCTGTTCCCACTTTGCCATTGCCATCAGTAAAAGCTCCTTAAGGCCTCAAGAAGCTGAGCAGATGGCGGAGCCATGCTTCCTGTAGAGCCGGCAGAACCATGAGCCAATTAAACCTCACTTTTAAATAAATTACCCAGTCTCAGGTATTTAATTATAGCAATGCAAGAATGTCCTAATACAGTGGATTTAGATGTCTCTCTGGGTTTACTTGTTTTTGGCTTGAAGAACTTTTATTAGTGTTTTTTGTAAAGCAGGCCATCTAGCAACACATTCTCTTTTTATTTATATGGGCATTTCTTTATTTTGCATTGACTTTTGAAAGATAATTTTCTGGATGTAAGATTTTTGTTTTGCTCTTTATTTTCTTTCAGTACATTTAATATGCCATTTCAATGTCTTCTGGCATCTGTTGTTTCTGTTAACACACCAACTGTTAATTTTATTGAGGTTCCTTTGTTGATTTTATTTTTCTAACTATTTTCAGACGTTCTCTTTGTCTTTGGCTTTCAGTAATTTTCTATCGTGTGTCTGGGTGTGGATCTCTTTGCATTTATTCTATTTGGAGTTGCAGCTTAATGTTTTTCAGCAAATTGGTAAGTTTTCTTGTCATTATATATTCTTCAAGTATTTCTCTGCTTATTTCACTTTCTCTTTTCCTACTAGTACTTCCTGTATGCATATGTTGCTGCATTTAAAAGTGCTTTGCATGTCTCTGAGACTCTTCAACTTTTTTTTTATTCCATTTTCTTTCTGTTCTTGGATTGCCTAACTTCTGTCAATCTATCTCATAGTTTGTTGATTCTTTCTTCTTGTTCAAATCTATTGTTGAACCCCTGTAATGAACAGTTCATTCAGTTATTGTGCCTTTTACCTCCAGAATTATCATTTGGTTTATATTTCATAATTTTTACCTCCTTGTTGATAGTCTCTATTTGATGGGACACTGACATCATACCTTCCTTTACTTCTTAAGATTGCTTCCTTTAGTTTTTGAAGATTTTTATAATGACACTTTGACATCTTTGTTAAATATTAAATATTTCCTTCTCACAGAAAATTGTTGTTGCCTACTTTTTCCTGTTCTTGAGTTCCAAATTTCTGTTTCTTTGTATGCCTCATAATTTTTTTGTAGGAAACTAGTCATTTTGGGTAATTTATAGTAGCTATTCTGGATATTGATTCCCCTCCTCATTTCTGGGCTGTTTTTGGTGTTGTTTACTTGCTTATTTATTTTATGAAATGAATAGGTTAATGTGATGAAGACTATTTCTCCTACAGTGTTAAGCCCTTGGTGTCACTCCTCAGTGGGCACAACGTTGACTGTGTGCTGCTTTAATCTGAGATTACAGCGGTTTGTGCAGGTCTCTCTTTGTTTCTTTCCTTGATCTCTCTCTTAACCTGTTTACTTTATTTGCTATTATGCACTGCATATTAGTCTCCACTAATTACTGGTCATTTGCTTTATTGCCCTGGAACACAGAAGCCTGACACATTAAATTTTTCAAGGGTAGTTTTTAAGGCCAGTCTTTGAGGTTTGTTTAATCCCTGGAGGGCTCTTCTGAGCTATACCTTTCCGTGGTTTTCTCTGGTGAGCTAGGTGAGCTGTGGTTCATCTTGCTGCTTTTAATTAAAAGAAACAGTTTATTCAAGAAAGCTCTTAGGCTTGAACTTCCTCAAACTCGTTTTTTTTTTCTTTCTAAAGAAAAGCCAGTTCCTTTTGAAAAAATTTCTACCCTCACAAATAATATGCAATAAATCTTGTTGCACATGTTCTTATGTGGAATGGCACGGGAATTCTTAGAAATATAACTCTAAGAACAAAATTTGTGATTAACTGATAATACATACAGTTAAATATAACTAAAATGCCTCAGATTACTTTCCATTATAAGCGTGCCCTTCTCTACTCCAGTAACAGCAAATGAGCATTTCTGTATTCTGCCTCCCTGGAAATGCTTGGCATTATCCAGCTTTCTTTCTACACAGTAAAATAGTCAGTCGATAGCTCACCATTTAAAGTTCTATTTATCTGATTAATAATGATTTTGATCATTTCCTAAAAGATTTATTGTTTTTCAGATTTGCTCTTCTGTAAATTGGTTTTTGCCAGTTTTCCATTTTTTTTTTTTGTTGGGATTGTTGATTTTTTAAAATCTTTACATTTTTGTGTATATTCCAGAGAATAATTCCTTTTTGGTATTAATCATTGCAAAGAACTTTTCCTATTTGTCATTTACATCTTACCTCTATCCATGGGTTTTTATTTTTTGTTTGTTTAACAGAAATCTTTAAGAAGTAAAAGTACAAACAAAAAAAGAAAAAATAATACTTACTTGATATTAAAGATTTAGTATTTTTCCTTTTATTAGGTCACAAAGTTAACTTCCTAAATTTTCTTCTAATTTTTTAGTTATATTAAGCAACTTCAGGTCTTTAATCTATCTAGTACTCACTATTTTATATGGTGTTAGGAAAAGAATCAATTTTATTTTTCTCTGTATGATGAGTACATTTTCCCAATACTGCCTATGAAATAAACAACCTATTCCTTATTGACTTGTTGAGGTCTTTTTATTTTTTATTAAGTTTTCATAGATGCAAGTCTGTCTCTGAAATATTCCTGTTCCTATTTATAATGTTTCTACCAAGTCATACTGTTCTCAGACTTCCAAATATTTTTTCCATTTATACAAGTAAAACTTTTCATAAAATACACTATTGAATAAAAAACTGAAGCTTTATTTATCTTGTTGATCAACTCTGAAACGAAAATGTTAAAAGGAATGCATTCTAAATGTTATGATTTTTTCCTTTCTTAGTAATAGGGTATTCTTTGCCTGAGAACAGTGACTTAATTATAAATGCAGAGGTGTCTTTGAAAGCAGCATTTCCCTCCCCTCCTTTATTCTGTCTATGTGGTGCGAATAGAGGAAAATACTGACAAATTAAAGTAGCCAATATTTAGACATATACAACTGACCTTCCAGAGAGATCTAGATATATACACATATGTATTTGTACACCTCTTGTATTTTTATAGATTCAGGGGTTACATGGACAGGTTCATTACATGGATGTACTGCAGAGTGGTGAGGTTAGTGTTTCTAGTGTACCCATTATCCGGATAGTGAACATTGTGCCCAAATGGTAGTTTTTCAACTCTCCCCCATTCCCACTCTTCCCCCTTTTGAACTCCCCAGTGTCTGTTGTTTCCCTCAGCATGTCCATATATACCCATTGTTCAGTTCCCACTTACAAGCAAAAAAATGCAGCATTTGATTTTCTGCTTCTAAGTTATTGCACTCAGGATAATGGCCTCCAGGTTCTTCCATGCTCTTGCAAAAGACATGATTTCATTCTTTATATAGATATGTAGTATTACACTGTGTGTGTGTGTGTATATATATATATATATAGATAGATAGATAGATAGAGTGATATATATACAATATATATAGATGATATATATAATACATATTATATATATATAAAACATATTTCTTTATCCAAGCATCTGTTGACGGACATTTAGGTTGATTCCATGACTTTGCTATTGTAAATTGTGCTGCAATAAACACATGAGTGCAGGTGTCTTTTTGATAAAACAGTTTCATTTCCTTTAGGTAGATATCAATTAGTGGGATTGCTGGGTCAGAGAAACGCAAATTAAAACCACAGTGAGATACCATCTCACACCAGTTAGAATGATTATTATTAAAAAGTCAAAAAACAACAGAGACTGACAAAGATGCAGACAGAGTAAAGGGAATACTTTGACTTTTATATTTCCACACTGTTATGGAAATATAAATTAGTACAACCGCTATGGAAAATAGTATGGAGACTTTTCAAAGAACTAAAAAGAACTACCATTGGATCCACTGGATGCAGATTTTTTTTTTTTTTTTTTGAGACAGAGTCTCACTCTGTTGCCAGGCTGGAGTGCGGTGGCACGATCTCTGCTCATTGCAACTTCTGCCTCCTGGGTTCAAGCGATCCTCCTGCCTCAGCCTCCCGAGTAGCTGAGACTACAGGCATATGCCACCACGCCCAGCTAATTTTTGTATTTTTAGTAGAGGCGGGGTTTCATCATGTTGGCCAGGATGGTCTTGGTCTCTTAACCTCATGATCCTCCCACCCTGGCATCCCAAAATGCTGGGATTGCAGGCGTGAGCCACCGCGCCTGGCCTGGATGCAGATATATTTTAATATAAGAAAATATGCCCCTCAATGCATACAAATTCTCAGAAAGAAGGAAGTCTGTATATCTTTTTTCCTGACCTTGCCATGATGCATTTTATGCTTCTCTTCTTTGTGCTTTATTTCTCATGACCTTCATCCACAAATCACAAAGGCCCCTTCATACCTGTAGTCTGTAGGATTCATTAGTTATTTATTAACTTAATAATTATTGTAAAGTGTCTTCTGTTTTAGGCACATGGGATATAGATCTGTGAATAAAAAGACAGCTATCTCTGCCCTCATAAAGCCATATTCTAAGCAAGAGATGATAGATAATAAACAATGAACACAATAAATCTGTAAATGATCTAAGATATTAAAGGTCAACGCAGAAAATAAAAAGTGAGTAGGTATTGTGAAATTAGGAGTGCCTGGCTGCAATTTTATGGCAGGATAGATCTCACTGTGAAGTTGATATTTGAACCAAGCCCTGCGAGAGGCAAGGGTGCTTTTGAGGGAAGAAAGGAGTAGTACTATGAGACACTTGGATGGTTTCCAATTTTTGGCTTCCATGAGTAAGGCTGCTATATGAATTCCAGTGCATTTAAAATATATATCTGTCTTCTTTTCCGTAGCTGAACAGTTATCTTATTTAGTTACATTCCCACCAGCAAGGTATCAGAGTCCCACTTGCTCCACATCCTCAGCAACATTTGCTGTTGTCCACTTTATTTGTTTTTAACGTGAGTTAAAGTGGTATCTTATTATGGATTTAATTAATTTTTCTAATAATTTTATGGTGCTGAGTACCTTTTCTTCTGTGATCACTGGCTATTTTTGTACCTTCTTTTGTGTAGCGTCTGCTAAGTCTTTTACCTTTTCCCTTCTTAATTACTTGGTTGGTTTTCTTCCTTAGATGAAAGCTTGATAGAGGTAGTTTTCTGTCTTTTTTTACTCCTGTCTCATAGAAGTGAAATATATGCCTTATTAGGCACTTATAAAATGTGGTATATTATAACTTACCGAGAATGTCACATAGTGTTATCATTGTTCTAATTAATAATCCCTTTCTATGTTGAGAATGTCAGATTTCTCAAAATGGTAGGATTTTTACCTTACATGTTCATTTTGTTTTTTGGTATTTTTTGCTGATAGGTTTTATTTTTGATATGTAGTATACTCACATGAATAAAAATCCAAATAATATAAAATAGAAAACTGTAAGAAATCTCTCTGTTTTTAGCCACTTGTTGTGTAACAGCACAAGTTCTCCATATACAGTTAATGAACATTATTTGTTTCTTGTGTGTCTTTATAAAGACATTTTATGTGTATAAAATCAAATGAAGAATATATATTAATGTATTTACTTTTCCACAGAAGATGGGATGTATAGTTCTGCATTTTGACTTTTTGAAATATTATTATGAATTACAGCAAACATAAACATAAATAATATATACAACATATGAACTTGAATAATCATTACCCAGGTAAAGTTTTATTTATTTATTTGGAATTTAATAAATGTAAACATACATAGGAAACATTTTATTGTATCTGGCTAACTTTACATAAGTTTTAGGATACACCCAAGTTGCACATTTGTCATTCATCTACCTCTGTTGCTATACAGTGTTCTGTTGTACAAATATGCCAAATATTCTACTGTTGAACATTTGGGTTGCTTCTAGTTTCATTGTACTATCACCAATCTTTCTGCATAGCATTTTTCATCTCAACTTGTCTAGATTTACTGAATGTCTATCCTCAGGGCTGTGTAGAACATGATGTTGACTCTTCACCAATGCAATAAAATAGGTTAACCAAAGATAAATGTTGTTCTCTAACCATTGGTCTGTGAGCTATTTCACAAAGTATGAAATACCAGCTTGTCAGCATTGTTGTAAATGATTTGTACCTGGATTTTGTAGAGTGTGCAGGATTTTGACAATTAACTTTGGTCATGTAGTTGAAATTTGACTACGTGACCAGCTCACCATAAGAATCACCATGAACAGACCGTTGGCTTCTTGGTACCAAGATATACTGATGCTTGTTATGGCACTTGATGACCTAAAGACCAAGCATTTCCTGTGTAATGCAATGGTGAGAGAACAAAAAAGTTTACTCCTAAGATCCCCAGACCCTTTTCAATGTATATATTTCCCCTGCATTTGCCTGGAACAGTTTTTTATCAGTATAAACTGAGGACTATGAGTCCCTTAAAAAATCAAACACAAAGTAAATAATTTGTATTTAATGCACATGCCATATAAGCATCTGGTGTGTGTGTGTACACATATATACGTGTGTGTGTATATATATATATATAGTGTGTGTGTATATATATATTCATATATATATGAATGTACCAATATTTTGTGTATATTTAAGATTGGAATGACTGGATAATACAACATTTATATCTTTACACTTACTGGTAATGACAAATCATTTTCTATGCACATGCCATTAATATTTTTTATAAGAATCTGGTGTGTGAGTGTGTGTATACATATATATGTGTGTGTGTGTGTATATATATAGTGTGTGTATATATATATATACACATTCATACATATGAATGTACCAATATTTTGTGTATATTTAAGATTGGAATGATTGGATAATGCAACATTCACATCTTCACATTTACTGGTAATGACGAATCATTTTCTAATGTGGTTCCAGTTTTCACCCCTGATGGCAGTTTATGAGAGGTCCTTTTACTCCAACAATAGCCGACCCCTGGAATTCGCAGATTTTTAAATGTCTGCTAATCTGTTGGGTGTGTAATAGCTTTACCTTTTGGTTTTATTTTGCATTTCTCTCATTACTAAATAAGTTGAAAACATTTTTACAGGTTCATTGGCCATTTCTGTCAAGGTGCCTCTCCTCAAACACAAGGTCTTTTCTAAAATGCTTATTTTTTATGAAGCTTCTTACTTCATGGTTTCTGTTTTAAAGGTCTGCAGCAGAAAGCTTCCTGTATTCTGAGGACATAAAAACATTTTCTATATTATGTGGTTAAAGCGTCATTGTTTAAGTATATGATTCATTTTTATTGTTTGTTTATTTGTTTAGTAAAATTTGGAGTCAGTTTCCTTTTTTAAATTCCTTATTCTCTTCTTTCTTCTCCTCTTTTTTTGTTCTTCCTCCTCCTCCTTTTTCTTCTTTTAATAAGGCCAATGAGTTATGCTGATACTTACTTTAAAAATATTTTATACACTTTATTTTTCATAAAGTGTCCATACGTTTAGGGCTGCCTGTGGGTTTCTATTGAGTCCCTTTGTGCTATGTTTCTACTTGCATGAATACTACACTGCCTTGATTTATGCAGCTTCACAGGGGTCATTATTGAGTAGAGTAACTCCTCCAACCTTGCTCTCTCTCAAAATGCAACATTTTGGTCTTTTGCATTTCCATGAAGTTTTAGAATCAGAATTTTCAGTTTTACTGGCATACATATGCATATAAACAAGTAAAACCACATAGAAACTGTTGAGATATTTATTGGCATTGCATTGGAATTATAGATCAATTTGTAGAAAATAAGCATAATAATAATATCGAGTTGTTCAGTGCATGAGCATGGTTCGTGTCTTCATTAAATTTGATATTATTTAACTTTTTCTAGAATATTTTATACTGTCCTGGATAAATTCATTTTTTGGAACTTGACATAAAATGATTTTGGCTATAGTTGTTTTCCTAATATTTGTAGTAACTGATCTAATAATTTTAATGGTAATAGAATTATTCAGGGTTGTTATGGTTTGGAATCATGTAGAGGATGTGTCCAACCCTGGTTAAAATTATTTCTGGGTATTTTATAATTTTCAAGCAATTTAAAATTGTTTTACATTTTAATTTTTCTATTAAAAATATTGCAAATGTAGAGCATTATGACTGAAATTTATGCAAATTGACTTTACGTTTAACATATTTACTAAATTCTGCCATTAGTTTTATTACTTTATCTTCACTTATATAATCATATTTTTTAAAGTAATGACAGTTGTTTTAGTTTTCTCTTTTGAAATCTTAATACTTTGTTGTTATTTGCTTCTTGTATTAATGATGTGGTGTGGCGTAGAATAAAAGTGGTGAAAATAAGCACCCCTTTTTTGTTTTGTTGCTGTGTCTTGAGTATTACTTTGATAATTAGAATTATTTATAGAAACTTGTCCCTTTAAATTACATTTTTAAATGCAGTATAATTCTTAAAAATATATTATACAGTATTATTTTGTCATTTTTAACATCTCTGAGATCTGTAGTGGTATTCTTTTTTATTACTGACACTGTTTTTTTATTAGAAGAGTTACTTAGGATATATATGTATACATATACATATATTTCTATAACTATATCTACATAGTTGTTTCTTTTTTTAACTTTTATTTTACTTTCGTGCATACATGTGCAGGTTTTCTGTATAAGTAATTGCATGTCACAGGATCTTAGCATAGATTATTTTATTACCTAGGTACTAGGCATAGTATCTGACAGGTAGTTTTTCAATCCTAATTCATCATTTTCAAAAATACAGAGTAGTCCTAGGGAATTTAATTGTTATATAATTGCTTGCTGTTATTATTGTAGTTGAGAGGTTTGGATGAGTGAAAATGAGGTTTGCTCAGAAATGTGGGGAAAATTTGACAATTGCTGTTTACAGTGGAGATGGACAAAGAAGCTTAGGCTGTCAGACAGACAAAATGAGGGAATTTGGCTAATTATTTGGCTGAGGGAGGAGGATGTTAAATGAAGAAAAAGTTGTACTGCCTTTATTCAAATATATTGCCTATCATAATGTTTATTGAATAGATAGGTCTGGGACCTCTTAAAAGACACTTCTACCTTATTAAAAATATAGCCACTAAATCAATAGACCAGACCACTGGTGTCTACAAAAGTATGGTAATTGTCACTCTTGCAAATGTTATCACAATTATATAATACATGTGAAGGCTTTTCATAAATCACAAAAAGCTATACAAATGATATTAGTAGCAAAAAGTCTGCTTTGATGGGCGCCACTGGTAATTTCTTTTATGTTTTATGTACTTTCTCAGGTTTCTTACCTCTCTATAATCATAATAGTTAGAGCTTTCATTTCCCCACAGCTTTCTATCTATTCTGATAGAACAGTCTTTCTTGTTTCTGATCTCTTTCTGTCTAGTCTCTTATCTCTCTCTGTCTCCCAGACATCTCTACTTAAGTGTCTTTCTATCACATCAAATACTCTATAACAAAGACGAATGTCTAATCTTTTCCTTAAGCCCTGTCCTCTGCTTCTTTTCTCTCTCTGAAGTCATAACATTTGTCAATATTTAAATGCAGACTTATAAAACTAATCCCAGACATACAACAGTGCAGGTGCAGATGTTTTCAATCACCTCACAAAAATCTGCAGCATTTCTATTAGTCTTAATGCAGTAACTTTACTTGTTTTAACATTGTCATCTAAATATCTAAATCAAAAAGTGACATGAATGTAGTTTTATTATTTTCCCACTATAATGGATATTAGTCCTACTAGTATTTGAGACATATTATCTGAAGCACTTAACTTTATAATGACTATATAAAATTTGATATGTGTAAGACTGCAAAAAATACTAAATTTAAAAATATACAAATAAAAGATATAGCAACTGAAATTATTGAGATTAGAAAGAAAAATGGGGCATGTAAGGTAATATAATTTTTAGAGAGTCTCTTGAAAAGAAAGGGAAACAAGAATTTGGTTTATGAGCCAATATTCCACTCCTCTGTTAATATTAAACCAATAATTTTTAGTTTTTCATGACATACTTACATTTTTAAAACATTATTTTATTTCTACAATTTCCTAGTGCGTGTATATATATATATAGTGTATATATAAAGTATTGCCAAACATTGCTAACTCTATTTTTCACCTTGAATTTATTCCATGCATGAAAGCATTATAGCAATCAGAAACAAAAAATAAGAAAAAAAGTTGTCTTCCAAGATGTCAACAAATGAAATTTAAAAAAGAAATATTTAAAACCTTATGGTTACCATAATTTTCACCAACTAATCTTTTATTCATTTAAAATATTTTAGTGTAAATTCAAATATGTTGAATTTATATGCTTAGTATAGGGGAAGAACAAATTAATTACATATTGTCTCTTTCTCTAGGAGAAGAATGGAATCTAGTAAAGGAATATATACATGAAGAAATGATAGTAATAAAAACACTTTAGGTGTGCTATCTAAAGTGTAGTTTACATACAGAATTATAATAAAGTGACATAGATGAAATGCTCCACTCCCCTTTGTGGGGTATTAACTGCTTCACGGGCAACTGATATTTGAGCCAAAGTTTAAAAAATGAGTAAGTAAGTTTTTGTCTTATGCATAGGAAGAATAGAGCTGTCTGAGTGAAAGGTGAAATTTGGGAAAATACATTGAATAATTAAAACTTCATGCAATTCAATATAGCTGTACTTTAGGGGCAAGGAATGGGTACAGGAAAAAATGAGGCTGAAGATGTAGGCTGCAGTGAAACTTAAGCAAATTTTATACATCTTCTGAAACACTTTTGAAAACGTTATTGTAAGTAAACATGTTGGAGATAGAGAGCAAGAAGAAAAAGATCTACCGTCATGGCTCATTTCTTCAAAGTGAAAGAAAATCCAGCTCAAGCAAGCTTAACCAACTATCACGACGTAAATATATATATTCACAGAATGGAAGAATCTACAGTGAAGTTTTATTTCATGCATAGTTGGATCTAGATGCTGACACAATAAATTCTAGCCTCAACTTTGCGTTGCTATAATTTTCAGATAGACGCCACAACTAGTTACAGAAATAGTTTTTAACAATCCCACACAAAGGCCAGGTGCAGTGGCTCACGCCTGTAATCCCAGGATTTTGGGAGTCCATGGCAGGCAGATCACTTGAGGTTAGGAGTTCAGAGACCAGCTTGGCAAACATGGTGAAACCTGTCTCCACTAAAAATACAAAAATTAGCTGGACGTGGTGGTGTGTGCCTGTAATCCCAGCTACTCGGGAGGCTGAGGCAAGAGAATGGCACTCCAGCCTGCACAACAGAGTGAGACTCCATCTGAAAAGTAAAATAAAAAAGGAAAAAGAAGGAAGGAAGGAAGGAAAATAGAAAGAAAGAAGGAAGAAAAAGAAATCCCACACACAGGTTATACTGCATAGAACATCTTTTCCAATATTTGATTAACATTTTTTTAGTATTATTTACTTTGGCTTTGACAGATTCATATGCCCAGGCTGGATTCAATCCCAGTGAAGAGATACAGTTTGTAATTGTCCAAACTAGAATACAAGCTCACCTCATTGAGGCTTTAGCACTACAATGAAGCAGATAGAATTATAAAGATGAAAAGATGGAATGTATTAAAGTTGTAGAAACCTGCAGATATAAAAGTTTTACAGGAAAATTGAAATAATCTCAACTAGTGGCATAAAATAAGATAACCACAAATTTTTGGATACTCTTACCTCTAAGAGGCAGAGTCTAGGTACCATCATTTTATAACAGAGTGAGCTCTGTGACTCCTTGACTAATAAGAGTATGGCGGAAGTGATGCTATTTACTATTCACAGGTCAGTTTCAGAACTGTTGCCAGAGTAGTTTTAGGAGCTCAAGAAGCTGAGTTTCTACTTCTTGTGTCTTAGAAAATTCAATTTTGGAAATGAGCTACCATACTCTAAAAAGAGACCAAATGCTTTTCACATGAAGAGGCTCATGTAGAGAATGAAGGAGGGCCTCAAGCCTACATACCTGGCTGAGTTCCCAGAAAACAGCCAGCTTATATCTCCTGCCCTTGTGATTGAGCTATCTTTAAAGCAACCTGTCCCAGATGACACCCCATCAAGCAAAGTGTTGTTGTCTCTAGGAAAACCTGCCCACACTCCAGATTGATTGTTTTTACATGGCAATAGATAAGCAAAATTCTTTTTTTGTCCCTGAATGTGATGTGTTGCCATAAGAAAAACCTAAAACCTTTGAATTGTACCCTCTTGGACTGGGTGGGAAAGAGAGATTATAAAATTTAAATAAGTAGATAAATAAGTCAATAAATAAATAAAAGGCCTTTGGATTCCCTACATTCTTTGGACAGAGAGTAGACTAAAATGGCTATTCAGTTGCAAACATGGGGGCCATTTCTTGTGGGAAAGGAAATATAACTTAGGAGAAGGAAGGAAAATCTTCTACAGCCAAGTCAATACCTACAAACAATCATAGATAGTGGGACTGGGCCCTACTGAAAAAATGGACAACATGCAACCAGATGAATTTAGGAATTTGTATGGACCCATGAGTACTATATGTCTTTGTCTTCCCTCCCTACCCCTTTTTGGAATGGTAGTAAACATCATGATTAACTTACTTCCCCAGGATTTCAACACTTTGTGTTGTGTGTGGGGATGGCAGACAACAGTTTACTTTAATTCACCTGTTTTTATATTAATATGAACTGCACCCAAGAAGGTTCATCCATATCTGAATTTGATTTAGACAACAATATCCTAGATTTAATGAGATGGAATGTGGGTGGGCCTTGGCTAGGGTCAGTGTAAAATAAACAAACAAAAAGGTAGATAGTTTGTGACTAGTGTGGACTAAAATAGATTACACTCCAAATGCTTTGATATTTTTTCCTCAAAATGAGTGGTCTATGTACTCTACAGGTAAGTCTGGGTGGACTCCATGACTACTTAATCATTAGAATATGATAAAAGCAATCCACTGCCATATTTTTTTTTTTTTGAGACAGAGTTTTACTCTTGTTGCCCAGGCTGGAGTGCAATGGCACGATCTTGGCTCACTGCAGCCTCCGCCTCCCAGGTTCAAGTGATTCTCCTGCCTCAGCTTCCCGAGTAGCTGGTATTACAGGCAACTGCCACCACACCTGGCTAAGGTTTTGTATTTTCAGTAGGGACAGGATTTCGCCATGTTGGCCAGGCTGGTCTTGAACTCCTGACCTCAGGCAATCTGCCTGCCTTGGCTTCCCAAAGTGCTGGGATTAGAGGCATGAGCCACCGTGCCCAGCCCACTGCCAATTTTTGACCCCAGGCCTCAAAAAATGGGAGCTACCACTGGCTCTGAATAGTGTCACATGTTTTACGTTCCTGTTACTGTGTTTTAGAACCCAGTCACAATGCTACGAGGAAATCTAGGTAGTCCCAGAGAAAAGTGTTTGTGAGGAAGGGGGGCCACTGTACTGAACAGCCAGCACATTCTTGCCAGCTATGTGACTGAGAAGTCTTAAAAATGGATCTTCCAATTCCAGTTTTGTTGCCCAAGCTAATAACCTTCCTTATCATGTGCTGCTCAAATTGCAAATTCTTGAGCAAAAAACATCATCTTTGTTTCCTAAGTCATCACTAGTTTTGGGCTAATTTGACACACAGAAAGAGACAATTGTAACACTTAGGGTGGGGTATATGAAACAGAACAAAAATGAGAATCAAAAAAGGAGGAGTTACAGGAAATACACTTTAAATGGATTGTCTCTTTCTTTTCTTTTTTCTGTGGAAAGTCCTCAAGAATAATGAGCAAAATAAACAAGGCCAGGGCTAGGAAGGAAATGGATTCCACTGTAGTGCTGAAGATGCTGACAATTTTTTGTCTTGCTAGTGATTAAAGTGGAAGAAGTTGTAGGATATTATATGCCTGCTGCAGATTTGATATTCACTGTTGCTCTTCACACTTATTAAAATTTTTCCTTGAAAATTAGCATATTAAAATTGCTTTCATGTATACAACACTAGACTGACATCCTTGTAATATTCTTCTGTGTTCTAAGTGAGAGCTCAATGCCTAAACTAATTTAGTGCCTTTCTGCAAGAGTCTCTCTGATGCAATTGTTAAGATAGCATTCCAGACCTTGGCTGTTTTCTTCACCACTGACTTTCTATCATATTAAATGCTCTATAAATATTTTGATACATTTATTAGGTAGAGAATTTGGAAAATAAGACCATGATAACTCAGCCTCTATATGTATGTATGTGTATATGTGTTTGCATGTGCATATGTTTGTGTGTATATATATACATATTTAACAATTTTAATCATATCATATAAAACTGTTACAGTATATTGGTTAAAGAGGAAAGGCTCTGTGCTCAAAATATCTGGGCTGGAATGACCCCAGCTCTGCCATTCTTAACTGCCAGTTCCTCCATGTTCAGTTACTTCATCTGTAAAACAGGAATATTAATAGTACATGCTTCAAACTTTGTGAGAATTAAATGAGATAAAAAATTTAAACACTTTTTTAATTTTTTAAAAATTAAAAATTAAATGAGATAAAAAATTAAAAATGAGAATTAAATGAGATAATTAAAAAATTAAAATTAAAAAAATCTCTTTCATGAAATCAAAGTAAGTCCTCAATGTAAGATAGTTATTATAATTTTTTACGTTTGAGTTCTAAAATGTAGTTTTTCTCCCTGTCAATTTTATATCTTCACCTAATATCCAGTTCTTCCCTTATAAAAGCAAAGCTAGAATGTCCTTTATTTTAATTTGTAATTCTTGTTAGCAAGTTTTATGTTACCATTACATGTTCTTTTCCATTCTCTACCATGTGTTGTGATTATCTATTATTGTTAACAAACTACACTCAAACTTTGTGTCTTAAAATATTAGAGGCTGGGTGCAGTGGCTCACGCTTGTAATCCCAGCACTTTGGAGGCCGAGGCAGGTGGATCACCTGAGGTCAGGAGTTCAAGATTAGCCTGGCCAACATGGTGAAACTCTGTCTCTACAAAAATACAAAAATTAGCCAGGCATGATGGCACGTGCCTGTAATCCCAGCTACTTGGGAGGCTGAGGCAGGAGGATCAGTTGCACATGGGAGGCAGAATTTGCAGTAAGCCAAGATCGTGCCACTATACTCCAGCCCAGTCAACAGAGCGAGACTCCATCTCAAAACAAAAACAAAAACAAACACATTGGAAAGCCCTTATTTTTAAATGAGATTGATGGAATTTTTTTTCTAATAGCCCTCCAGAAAATAAAATTTCTTAAGAATTAGAAATAGAAAAAAAGAATCTTTGGTTTTATTATCTTAACAATCGATGAAATTCCAATAATTTAATTAATTCTGTATGTGAATCAATTTCAACCATCATGTCAAATACTTTGCTTTTTTGGGAGGGACAGTCGCCTTCACTGTACATAAATAATTATATAAAAGATCGTAGGCTTGTTTCAGAAATAATAGGGCCATTCTTTTAGTTTTTCCTAGAATGTGAGCTCCAACATTCCAACAATTATAATACTCACTCAATCCCTTCTCAATCTCTTTAAATCTGACATGAAATCCCTTAAAATGTTATGTTGAATTATATTATAGCTCCACCTTAGCAAAAATTCTTTATTGAAAACTAAATAATAAATTACATTTCTGTTTAAAATACCAAATAACTTTAAAGAAATATACACATGTTCTTTTGCTTCTCTCTCACGTTAAAATCTAATTCTAAAAATTTGCTTTGAAATAGTTTTAGTTCTCTTTTTCTGAGTTCTGAAATTCTACAATCTATTTTTATTTCTGTTGCGGACAGGTGCAGGATTATTAGGAAATTCGTAACTTCCAGCTGTTTTTTTTTTTCCATTGTCACTTCATTCAGAAAAGAATTGCATTTTTGCGGTTATCTCTATTTCATGACTTTAGTAAAACCTGTTAACATTTCTACCTTGTGTTGATGCTCATGATCTTCTCTAATAACTCATTTCTTCAGAAACTAAATGCTACTTTCAGCATTACTATCTTGCCCCTTGGTGATGGCAGTGATAATAGGCCATAATGCTATGGCAAAGATGGCAAAATGTGCAAAACCCAAAAGGCTACCAAAGGGTTTTCCAAGTCCAAAGGTAAACCTAACACAGATGTAAATAGGTACTACATTCTTCATCTTATCAGTTTAATTACTTAGGCACTTTTTTGAGAATGGGGGTCTCTCTGCATGAGGAAAGGGAATAAACAATGTAAACACAATATATTATTAATTTTCCATTGGTGGGAAAATATCTTTAGTTCTCTTATACCAGGTAGCTGCTTATTAAATGGTAATGTTTCTTGGAGCTAAACACACACAAATACACCACACATTTGAAATAAATTTTCTCTTAGTATTTAGGATACTTTAAGAGCCACTCAAAAGCACAGAACTTCAACTTATTATAGCTTTAAATATGTTTATATGCTTTATGATATAAGTAGATACTAAACTCTGTTAGAAAACAGATCTAGTCTCAGACTAGAGAATATTATGTATGTGTGTGTGTGTGTGTGTGTGTGTGTGTGTGTGTGTGTGTGTAATCATGTGGAAAACATTATTGTTGTTCATCAAGAAAATACAGTTAGGAAAATAAGAAAAAGTAAATCTAAAGACTTAAACAAAAAGCATCTACAGTCAACAACTGCTTGATAGGTTTTTGTTTTGTTTTGTTTTCAGAAACCAAGTTTCTAAGCCCCTGTTTAATACAGGTGGGCCAAGGAGAATTTATTATTTGTGTTAATTATTTATTGTCTCTATCTTCCCCTGGATGTAAGCTAATATGGAAGAAAAAAGTTTTTCAGTTTGTTCACTGCAACACTAAGTGCCTAGCACAGTGTTTGAAAGAGTAGTTAGTTGAAAAACATTAGTGAAATAAATTTCTGTATCAACATTTAAATGGCAATTGATTTTTTGAAAAGGTAATACAAATGCAGCCAACCATATTATTTATCTTTGGAGAATCAGAATAAAATGGCAAAAATATGTGAGTATTTTTATTGGCCCAAACTAGTAGATGTTGCAAGCAAACACTGCAAAGAATATTCACTAAACAAAGTTCCGACAGCAATTATTGAAAAAAAAATCAAAGATGACCTTTCAAGGAGGTTTACATATTTAGTATATAAATGTTGATTATTTCTGTTATTAAAGCAAATTTATAAAGAGTAGCACAAATTCCCCTCCCCCAGTCATATTAAAGCATAAGGAAAAGGTGGACTTCATGGAAAAAATTTGCATGTCACAAAAGCAATATAATTAAAAAGGGCTTTAATGAAAAACTATTAATCATCACAGGAAAAAGACAGTTCATTGTATTTGAGCATCTTTATTTGACAAAGAAATCACTCTCATTAGGATTTTCTAACTTCACAGGGGTACATTTCGAAGCAGAGAGTTACAAATGCCATAATGAAGGAGACAGCAAAGAGAATGGTACATCAGGTCTAACCAATGCTGGGACATTTTGCACAAATGGATTAAAAACCTGTTACAAGCAAGTCTCCCTTCCAGGGGCACATTTATCCATCTAATAATACTAACATAATTCTTGATTATTTTAATGCAATTGATGAGCACTCTCCCTCTGGTGATAGAGAAGTCAGAGCTAGCATGCATATATATATATATATATATTTTTTTTTTTTTTTTGAGACAGTGTGTCACTGTGTCACCCAGACTGGAGTGCAGTGGCATGATCTCAGCTCAGTGCAACCTCCGCCTCCCAGATTCAAGCAATTCTCGTGCCTCAGCCTCCCGAGTAGCTTGGATTACAGGTGCATGTCACCACACCTGGCTAATTTTCGTATTTTTAGTAGAGACAGGGTTTCTCCATGTTGGCCAGGCTGGTCTCGAACTCCTGACCTCAAGTGATCTGCCCGCCTCGGCCTCCCAAAGTGCTGGGATTACAGGTGTGAGCCACTGTGCCCGGCCCAGAGCTAGTATTTTTAAATAGCCATCTAAAGAAGGAACTGGGGCTATTGGGTGTGAGGAGACATCTTAGTGCAGATGATCATAAATTGCTTTTTGTAGATTGAATAGGCATGCGATAATTAGTGAGGAGCATCAGAGGTAAGGAAGAGGGTGGCGTTCCATTAAGACCAGTGAATGATACAGAAGTGAGAAACGTTGTTCAGATAGCCGTGATAATATAATGGTATAAAATCTTCATCTTTCTGTACTCAGCAGATACTCAGAAACCACATATCTCTTTCCTAGTTTTACCACCAAATTATCTCTTAATAGCCCATTTTTTCAACATAGCAAAAATACAGAGAAGAAAACATGCTACCAATATCTAATGATTTGAGAATTAGTAAATGCTCATTGGTACAACATTTTGAGACTCTGTAGGAAACTATATTCAATACTAAGAATTAATCTATATACTACTTTCTTCTGTCTCACCAGGCTATTTTTACTAGCCATTATGACCCACATCTATATGTGATACTTATGCTTATGTTTCGTACTGTGTGTATGTTTGTGTTGTGTATATTTGCCCACTTGTGACTTGCTACTAGTTTGTAATAGTTTGTGAGAGATAAAACCATTAGTTCCAGTGTTTTCACCTCCATATGGGAAGAGCCAACTTTATAATTTGGACCCGAATTTACTCTATTATAATACCACTCCTGGGGATTTTTGCAAAATATTAAAACTGAAAAATGATTGACAGATTGTCTCAGTTCATATATACATTTGTGGTCCACTTTTCTATGGTTGTCAAGTTCAGGGATTCTAATGACTTATATAAATGAAGAAAGTGTATTGCTTAAATCATATTGTTTAGTGATGAAAGTTAGAATTTGAAGTGGTTGTTTTGTGATTTGATCCTTTCAAATTATTTTAAATTTTTATTGATCTCTTCATTTTGCTATGAACATTTATAGCACTTTGCTGTTTCAATATTTTTAGGAAGCGTCTATTCTCTGTCTGGATACTTTTACTAAATTTTCTATATTAGGCTCATTGCTTGGACCATCATCTGTCTTCCTAGGTATTTCTCAAGATTCTAGCTAAAATGGAAAGGCTGCATATACAATCCAGGACCCTTGCTGAGACTGGATCACATTTGTCCTGAGGGAACAAAATGCACGGCAGGGGGCTATAATTCAGAAGCTGAATATTTAACCCAGTTGTTCCCTTGCAGTTGCATTATATTTAAAAAAAAAAAAAAAAGGTTGAGACACACCGAAAATCTTATGACCTGTACTCCCCATTTCTCTTAATTTCACTTTGTTTTGAGAGAAAAACAAGTAAAATTCTCAAAACCAAGTACTCCACATTTTCAGCTACTTCCAACCATAAAGCTCTACTAATCTTTCTCCCAAATAACCAAAAATTCTACAAATGTTCAAATTTTCGCAGAGTATAAAAATTGTATTCAATCAGATCATTTTCCTCTGTCCCAGTGATATTGCTTGTGTTGATCACATTTAGGTTATGACACTGAAGAAATTTAGTGTGAGAGTTGAAATTCATTCACTCCCATTAGTCTCCTCTCACTTTTCTCAATTTGATCAATATTGTGTGAAATGATAAAGCACAGAACTGAGTACTGGGCACATAGCTTTTATCTAAGAGTCAAAATATGTGTATACACACACACACAAATTGGAGCTGTTACTTTTCTTTTACTACATTCAAAATTTGTTATTCCAAATTATAACTCTGTCACCTGTAGGAAAGACATAATACCTCCTACAAAGGAGAAAAGTAGACTTATTTCTAGTAATTATGCTAAGTGATAGATAATCCCTTAAAAAGTTTTTGGACTTCAGCAGTCACTTGCATGTGTATTGCTAGCAGAATATACAATCTAAGTAAACTTAAACTTCTGAAAACTAGTAGTTTCGTATACAATAGAAATCTGAATTTATCAAACTATCCACCAAATTTGGCTGACTATTCAAATTATATGTAAGTAGGTTGACTAGCTCTGATCTACATAGGCCTAAGTAAAAGTACTAAGTCATGCTAAATCATTTTCACTATCTTCATTGAGATCTGGCAGGTATTCTGACTCTGTCTTTTAATTTCCTTTCTTGAATATATATATATATATATATAATATATATATATGCACCAAGGTAATAATGAATATGTGTATGTATATATATATATATGCACCAGGGTAATATTGAATTTATCTATATCTATCTATCTATCTATCTATGCGCCAAGGTAATAGTAAATCTATATATGTGCACCAAGGTAATATTGAATCACAGTGTTTTTCACAATAGATTAGGGAAAATGCCTTCAAAAGGTTTGTCATAAGAAATAATAAAATTATGAGGTGATATTTTCCAGGAGAAAAATCCAAGCAAATGAAGTTATACCTAATGTTTTCAACAGATACTGGTTTTTAAAAACTACCTTTGAATTTTAACTGGCACTTAAGTTAAAATTCTACAAACATCAAGTCAGATATGACCAAAGCTACTTTCAAAGATGTGTTACCACTGTCAGGAAAAAGATTTAGATAAATGTGGCTCCCCCTTTTTCCGTAGTTCTACAGAGAACTTAATATTTTCTAGTGCTTTTAAAATCATGTTACAGGAATAAAACTCTGTAGGTGCAAGAACTGTCCATGGAGAAGGCTGACTGCCATCGTAATTGCAACACACAGTGTTCCTGACAATATTTGTATTGTTTCATCTGTACACGTTGCTTTTCTACAAATGTTACCACCATCCAGCCTGTGAGAAGCAGCTGCTCTGTGGAATTTTTGGCTAAAATGCTTGGCTATCCATACTGTCCCAAGATACAAATGCTTCTACCGCCATAATGACTAAAGCAAGAATTCCATTCTGGAAACATTTTTCAGAAAAGCAAATACAGATTTTGAGAAGAAAAAAAATCAAGACTTATTATCTTTTTTTAAAAATATAAGTATGGTGGAAGAATCTGTGGATATGGGGAATAAATTAGGGGTAAAGTTGGGAGAAACCATGTGTCCATCCTAATTTTGCCATATTCAGTTTCTTTGACCTTGAGCAAATGACTTCATGTCTTTTTTTAAATACAAAAGAAATATACCTCCAATATGAATTTGCACTGGGCCAACTTGTGGGAAAACGTTTTGCAGATTGTAAGTACAAGGCAAGGCTACTTGTTGCTGTTTATGGTTATAATCATAATTACTAAATATTCAGGCTGTCAACTCCTCCTTCCACTATAGGATGCTCTGAAGTATAGTGTATTCTAATTGCCCAAAGACTTTGTAATAGCGTATGTCAATGCTCAACTGTCTTCCCCAGCTCGAAAACTTTTAAATGCCTAATAAAGTGGATCATAAATTCCTTCATTTAGCATCTGAACCCATTTATCATGTGTTAAAGACATGTTATTTTTAGATCTAACCCCCACTATTTGCCATTTGCTTGTTCTTTTCAGACCTGATTTTTAAACAAATATCTGAATATAGATTCCTATCTTTCTGTGTTTACCTCACACCTTCCTCCTTCAGCTGGAATCCCTTTCCAGGTCATATTCTATTTTTCAGAAAGCTTTCATAGTCCTATTATTATAATATTTTTCCCATTGAAATAGTCTATCTACTTACTAAAGCACTCCAGTGTAGATAAAATTTGTTTTACGCAGGTTAACAAATACATGATATATTCTAAAATATGGAAGATACAGGCCAAGCGTTTGTGAAAAAAGTGAGTAATTAGCTGATAGTTGTTTAGAAACTCAGATATTCAATGTGTAAGTAAAGATATTTTATGTGTAAGTAAAACCTTATAGTTCATAGGTGCTTAGAGAGCTCATAGATATAGAAATACTTATTCAAATGTATTTTTATAACTCTCTTAATATTCATACACACACATATGCACACACATACAGAGAAGCATATTATTATTTTTTTGCTTCCAGTTCATGTTTTAAACAGAGAATTGGTTGGTACCATAGATAATTAGATAACTTTCTAGGAAAATACATAGTTTTAAAAAAATAGTGTTTCTTAAGCAATAGTTACCCTTCACCTACCCAATTACCATCACAATGTGGAAGAAGAAGAGACTGAAAGGAAAAAATTATTTTACTGGGACACAATGTGAGAGTGAAGCTTCCATACAGATGTAAGAAATGGAAGGACTTCGGCGTCTTAGAAGTGAAAGCTGGAGAGGGCCCTGAAGAAAAGGAGAATAATAGCAAGAAGAGCAACTTCACTGAAATATTTGTGATTATTTACATACATTTTTCTTAAAATGGCTGTAAGTTTGTACACTTAAATATATTTGCAATAAGTCCCTTTCATGGAATTGCACAGTAAAATATTGTGAGTATGATTATTATTGTTTTGCTAGCAAAAATATCTGAGTATAGGATACACTATTAATCAATTGTTCCAGGTATTTTAGTGGAAGTCTCTGACTTTGTTTAATTACATCTTTATTAAAATCAAAAATACAAGAAAAGCAATGGAAATGCTATTAAAATTGGACATGTAATATTAATATACATGCTCAATAAATAACGCAATCCACCATTAGTTGGGTACATATACAATATTTAACTTTTATAATGATGCCGTTAAAATATTATATTCATTTCATACATGAAAATTTAAGGCTCAGGTTAAGTGACTTGCTGAATGTCAAAGTTTACAAATGACATACCTCTCTGTCCATTCCACTCTGTTCCTTCTAATATCTATAGTAAATGTATATAATATTAATTTAGTATTTTTAAACAAAATCCTTATTGAAGGACCAGTGGTATCCTATGAGGTATGTCCATAGACATGTCTGTCAAAGAAATTTAACAACTGTCAAATCATTTAGTACAACATAATTTCATCTAGAAATTATTAAAATTTTAAATAAAATTTTGGAATATATGAATAAATTAATTCAAAATAGATCATAATCTTAGTTAGCTTAGGTCAGACAGCATATTTTTTATAATTTTTTTAAAACATCTGATAAAGACTGCCAAGTAATGAACAAAATGTTTGAATAGGAGTTCACTAAAGAGGACATGTGGAAATCAAATAAATAAATGAAAAGATGCTATACACAGTCATCAAGGAAGTACAAATTGAAACCATAATGATATACCACCTCATATCTATCTATAAACATGGAAAAACAAAACAACAACAAAGAAATACTGACAATACCAAATGCTGTTGAAAATGCAAAGTAACAAGAAATTTTTTATGTTGCTGGAATTTTCATATGTGACAGGAAAAATGGTAGGCCTTTTGAAAAACACTTTTGGCAATCTCTGTCAATTTAAATATACACTTATCATATGATCCTGTAGTCCCACTTGTAGTTATATATCTAAGATAAATTAAAACTTACATTCACATACATGAAGCGTACAAGCAACGGTTTTTAATCGTTTTACTTATATTTGACAAAAAAACAAAAGTAATCTAAACTGGTGAATGGATAAACAAATAGTATTATAACTATTCAATGGAATATTACTCATTGATGATATAAGAAATATTGCTGACATATGTGACTACATGCAACTCAAATGCTTTAGGAGAAATTATGAATATTGGACTGAAAAGTTTATGCAAATTGAACTTTGTTCTATTTGGTTTGGAAAGGAAAAACAATAGAAACAGGAAACTTATTCTTTTCAGCAGGTATGTGTAAGAGTTGAATACAAAGAGGCAAAGGGGCATCTACTTTGTTTATAAAATGATTCTTCATCTTGATAATGTCAATAACTACACAACTTCGTGCAATAAAGTCATTGAACTCTATATTGAAAACTGTGAATTTTACTCTATATAAATTAAACTTCAATAAACTTCACTTTTAAAAACTATATTATATTTACCCTTATGTTGAAATTAATGGTACTTAGAAGCAACTTATACTAATACAAATTAAAAATAATGTTTATTGCTTCATGCATTCTTTTTATTTCCAAATTTTTAAGTATCTCTTAAGAAAGTTTAAAGTGAATAATTATTTCCCTGCCTTCAAGGGATTTATAGTATATGATGAATAATAACCATGTAAAAAAATTTAAAATCTACACTTTTTTGGTGTTATAACATTGGAAAACTTTTTTGACCATAATGTATAATGCAAGGTATGAATAGAAGATGTGATTATATTTCTTGCAAATAGGGGTCCAATTGTTCCTGCAGCATTTGTGGAATGTTGCATTTCTCCACTAAATTACCATTGCACCATTGCCAAAAATCAATTAACTATTCTATTCTATTGAGCTATGTGTTTCTCCGTTTTCCAATGCAATATTGTCATTACTAATTATATTTATAGTATTTATTGAAATCAGTAAGAGTGCCCTTCAACTTTACTTTTTTTTCAGAGATACTTTAGCAATTACAGTTTGTTTAACTTTCCAAACAAATATAAAACTATCTAGTGGAAGTCTACAGGAAAATTCTCCTGGTATTTTCATTATGAATTAATATAATTTATGTGTCAATTTGTGCCAAAGCAATAATACTGAGTTTTCCAGACCATGAACACAATATATCTCTTCACTTATTTAGATCTGTTGATTCCTCTTACCAATGACTTTTGGTTTTCAGCAAATTGATATTTCAGTTATTTTATTATATTTATGAATAAGCATTATTGGGTTTTGGTTGCTATTTTCAATGTCACTTAAAAGAAGTAGTTTCCTATTTGTTCATTGCCGTGCATATAAATAAATTTGGGTTTAGTATATTAGCTGAATCCCACAGTCTTGCCAAACTCAATTATTGATGCTAAGCTTACTTATTTTTTTTTAGTAAATTCTTTGGGTCTTATACTGTGAGGTGTGCAAATAGAGAAAATTTTATTTTTCCATTTCAGTATGAATGCCTTATGTTCTTTTTCATCACTTACTGTAGTATCTAGAATTCACCCCCATTTTACTCATGAAAACATTGAGACAACATAAGTTACGTGAGCGGCTACAGAGTATATGGCTACATGAAGCATTGGGGATTTGAACTCAGGTCTGTCTGACACAAACTTCTGACATTTAACCACACAACCAATGTAGAATCAATTACTATTTCAATATTATTCTCAAGTTACAAATACATAGAGATAGTGTTGCAAAATTATTATACTAATGAGATATTGTTCCTATATACTTTGTAAACATTTAAACAATGTTTAGAATGATTCAAGATTAAGTGAATCCTCAGACTTCACCACTTTTTACCAACTTGGTATAAGACTGGTAGAAAGTGAAGCATAACTTGAATCAAAATGATCATAATGAAGTAAAATGAAGGCATCTGATGGTCTTCGTAAATTAATTGTAAGTGTCAAAAATTGAGTAGTTTTAAAGTAGCCAGAGAAGTATGAAATATCTATGAAGAGTTGTTTAGGAGTGTTTCTCACTGTTTCTATTACTGTATGTTTGATTTTACTCCATGCAAATATATATGCAGTTAGTAGGTTTGTCTACAATATCAACTCATTCTTAATCACCATGCTTTTCCCTCATTACATTTTATTACTACACATTAACTGCATGTGGAAACAAAAGGAAATCCTTGGGTCAAAAACAGCAAAATGTGGAAGTCTGTGTCGAAGACAACTTCAGTGATAGGAAAGTTATGTTGTGTGAACAGTCTAGGAACTTCAGATTTGTACAATACATTCATTCTAACATGTGTGCTGAATATAAAAATATTACTTTGCTAAATGTTTAATTTAAATATTTTATTATATGTAAACTATTGTTGAATTAATACAAGTTAAAACATTATTGCCTTGTTTACTTAGTTATTTCTAGTTCGATTTATGATTCTTTTTATTTTGAAAATCTAAAAATTATATTATCATTAAAGGGTATTGTATTTTCAGTAATATTTAAAGTATATATTTAATAATATATTTTAGTACTAACAATCACTTAATTTCCAATTATAAATTATTTATGTTTTTGGTTAAAAAGGAATCTTTTATATAACCAATTAATACAAGTTTTAAAATTATGTGGGTATATAATCTGAATTTATGTTTTATACTAACAAAATATTTTGTGTGAATCAATTTAAGTAAAGTACTATAAAATAATCTTAAGAGTGCTACATTTTTATAACAAAATTCTGCAAAGTCTAAATCTTAAATCTATTTTTAAAAGACACACAAAAGTCCTCAAAGTGACCTGGCTTCCATTATATTCATTTTCAGTCACTACACCATTAAGCATCTATGTGTTTTTTAGAAGGAAACTAGTTTCTCCTTGATAATTTATCTAGAGTAGATATCTGGTTGTGAGACTTTAGAAAAATCAAATTACATTGAGCTAATCCTTTTAGTATCACTGGCAAGTGTATGGTAAATCTCTAATTGGTAGGCTGTTTATATTTGTTCTTGTAATGACAAGATGACTTCAAAGCAGTCTCTGTTGATTTTAATTCCCAGTTTGAGTCTTGTTGCAAGGTGTTTACAGGGGGGAAATCTAAAATGAATTCCATTACATAAAAATGAGAGGTAATTTCTTGCATTTTCATTATATTATATTGTATTAATTATATGTAACCACATGTTGAAACATGGAAAAGTTAGATTTTTATAGGTCTCTATTAAAAAACCTGGACTCATGCAGAAAATAAGTCATGACTTGTATACTTAGATTTTCAACACAAGTTCTTTTAATACTTAGTTAACACTGATTTTGTATGGAATGAGAGAGGCTGTTTACAATTTAAAAAATCAATATTATTTCTAAAAGCTAAAAATAATAGAAAAAATAATTTCAGAAGAGCTATTTTTTCTTTTTTATTCTTGTTTTCTGAATATGGTCACTCCTCAGATGATTATTTCACCTCTCAAGCAGTATGCGGCATTTGGGATTTGTCACTATTTCCATAGAACAGCCAAAGTGATCTATTAAAAGTACCTGTTAGCTCCTATTATTGTTCACTTAAAACTATCCAGTGACTTCTTCTTACAAAGAGGATAGAAATCCCAACTTGCTATGGCTCCTTTGACCTATGCCTTTCCTGCATTTCCAACTTCATTTTATTCCTCTGACTTTGTTCTCTCACTCACTGTACTGCTCTTTGCTGGGTTACTCAAAACACCAAATTCTTTCTTACCTTATTGATGAGAATAACTCTTCTTTCTGCCCCTTTTAACTCATATTTACATGACTTATTCCTTTTTGTAATTCAGATCTTAATTTATATGTCACCTCTTCAGGTAACCTTGACCACCTTTCACTGTGAGCATAGCAGTTGCTGTCACAATAGCAATTCCCTTTTTGCTTTTAACTTAAATATAGTTTCCAGTACCCATCTCTACTTTGTGGAAATTTGACTTCACTCTAGGCTAACGATGATGATTTTTCTTTCTAACTTCATCATAATTACACTAAATTCTCATCACAGTCATTCTTTTTCAGAATGCCCGATTTCAGATCCATGTGATCTAGGCAAACATATGCTAGGGTCTTCACAGAAATAACTTTTTAAAAATTTTAAAGACAAGACTTTAATTATCTTGTTCTTTCTCTGTCTCTCAACTTAGTCAAGATCAAGGAAACATACAGTGCGGGAAGTGTTTGATAGACCCACAGTAACAGAAAATCTACTTTAAAATGAAAGTAGGCCGGGAGCAGTAGCTCACACCTGCAATCCCAGCACTTTGGGAGGCCAAGGCAGGCGGATCACCTGAGGTCAGGAGTTCGAGACCAACCTGAGTAACGTGGTGAAACCCCCTCTCTACTAAAAATACAAAAATTAGCCTGGCATACTGGCAGATGCCTGTAATCCCAGCTACTCGGTAGGCTGAGGCAGGAGAATAGCTTGAACCTGGGAGGCAGAGGTTGCAGTGAGCCAAGATCACGCCATTGCACTCCAGCCTGGGCGACAGAGTGAGAATCCATCTAAAAAAAAAGAAAGAAAAGAAAGAAAGTAATACTAAATCTGAGCCCCTTGAAGTTATCATTAAGCTGTCGATTTGAAGTAGTCCTGAAGTCCACCTTGACCTTAGAATTAGTGTCATTATTTTACTTGTATTTTTTTTCATTTCTTGCAGTTGAATGTACTTTCACTGATGTATGTCTATCTTATTTAATGTTACTATCCTTAGTCACTTTCTGTCCAATTACCCTGTCTTATTTTCTACCATGAATTTATATCAGAAATTATCTTTTATTTATTTAATGTTTATCTATATAGCCTTAAGAACATTAAAAACTAGAGGTTAATTTCTCTAGTTTATTTTTATATTCCTTAGCACATAGGAAGTAAAAAAGTAATTTTCGTTGGATAAATGAGTGATGAAAATGGCTGGATAAATTAGATATCAGGGTCAGTTTGGTTATATCAGGTTTATTAAGCTGTGTCCCCTCATTGTTGACAGAAATCTTGAAACCACAAAGAACCTGAAGTCCTAAAGTTCCAAAAGCTACACTGCATATTTTTTTGAAGAAATCTTGCCTTGCCACATCTCTTTAACTTGCCTAGGTTCATTTCAGTTTCTCTGAGTTTATAGTCAACTCTGTTAAACAGGGTTTTTGCGAATGCCTGAGACTTAGGCCCAACTCTGCATCTATGTTACTAAGCCTAAACTGTTTCCTGAGTTCCCCTAAGCACTGACTCCTCCCACATGAAAGCACCGTAATCATGTGAAACTCAACACATATGTTTAGATTAAAGCATTGTGCCTTTCTATTATCGTTTTTATTTATTTATTTATTTATTTATTATTATTAAACTTTAAGTTTTAGGGTACATGTGCACAATGTGCAGGTTAGTTACATATGTATACCTGTGCCGTGCTGGTGCGCTGCACCCACTAACTCGTCATCTAGCATTAGGTATATCTCCCAATGCTCTCCCTCCCCCCTCCCCCCACCCCACAACAGTCCCCAGAGTGTGATGTTCTCCTTCCTGTGTCCATGTGTTCTCATCGTTCAGTTCCCACCTATGAGTGAGAATATGCTGTGTTTGGTTTTTTCTTCTTGCGATAGTTTACTGAGAATGATTATTTACAATTTCATCCATGTCTCTACAAAGGACATGAACTCATCATTTTTTATGGCTTCATAGTATTCCATGGTGTATATGTGCCACATTTTCTTAATCCAGTCTATCATTGTTGGACATTTGGGTTGTTTCCAAGTCTTTGCTATTGTGAATAATGCCGTAATAAACATACGTGTGCATGTGTCTTTATAGCAGCATGATTTATAGTCCTTTGGGTATATAGCCAGTAATGGGATGGCTGGGTCAAATGGTATTTCTAGTTCTAGATCCCTTAAGAATCGCCACACTGACTTCCACAATGGTTGAACTAATTTACAGTCACACCAACAGTGTAAAAGTGTTCCTATTTCTCCACATCCTCTCCAGCACCTGTTCTTTCCTGACTTTTTAATGATTGCCATTCTAACTGGTGTGAGATGGTATCTCATTGTGGTTTTGATTTGCATTTCTCTGATGGCCAGTGATGATGAGCATTTTTTCATGTGTTTTTTGGCTGCATAAATGTCTTCTTTTGAGAAATGTCTGTTCATGTCCTTTGCCCACTTTTTGATGGGGTTGTTTGTTTTTTTCTTGTAAATTTGTTTGAGTTCATTGTAGATTCTGGATATTAGCCCTTTGTCAGATGAGTAGGTTGTGAAAATTTTCTCCCATTTTGTAGGTTGCCTGTTCACTCTGATGGTAGTTTCTTTTGCTGTGCAGAAGCTCTTTAGTTTAATTAGATCCCATTTGTCAATTTTGGCTTTTGTTGCCATTGCTTTTGGTGTTTTAGACATGAAGTCCTTGCCCATGCCTATGTCCTGAATGGTAATGCCTAGGTTTTCTTCTAGAGTTTTTATGGTTTTAGGTCTAACATTTAAGTCTTTAATCCACCTTGAATTGATTTTTGTATAAGGTGTAAGGAAGGGATCCAGTTTCAGCCTTCTACATATGGCTAGCCAGTTTTCCCAGCCCCATTTATTAAATAGGGAATCCTTTCCCCATTGCTTGTTTTTCTCAGGTTTGTCAAAGATCAGATAGTTGTAGATATGTGGTGTTATTTCTGAGGACTCTGTTCTGTTCCATTGATCTATATCTCTGTTTTGGTACCAGTACCATGCTGTTTTGGTTACTGTAGCCTTGTAGTATAGTTTGAAGTCAGGTAGTGTGATGCCTCCAGCTTTGTTCTTTTGGCTCAGGATTGACTTGGCAATGCGGGCACTTTTTTGGTTCCATATGAACTTTAAAGTAGTTTTTTCCAATTCTGTGAAGAAAGTCATTGGTAGCTTGATGCAGATGGCATTGAATCTGTAAATTACCTTGGGCAGTATGGCCATTTTCACGATATTGATTCTTCCTACCCATGAGCATGGAATGTTCTTCCATTTGTTTGTATCCTCTTTTATTTCCTTGAGCAGTGGTTTGTAGTTCTCCTTAAAGAGGTCCTTCACATCCCTTGTAAGTTGCATTCCTAGGTATTTTATTCTCTTTGAAGCAATTGTGAATGGGAGTTCACTCATGATTTGGCTCTCTGTTTGTGTGTTATTGGTGTATAAGAATGCTTGTGATTTTTTTACATTGATTTTGTATCCTGAGACTTTGCTGAAGTTGCTTATCAGCATAAGGAGATTTTTGGCTGAGACAGTGGGGTTTTCTAGATATACAGTCATGTCATCTGCAAACAGGGACATTTGACTTCCTCTTTTCCTAATTGAATATCCTTTATTTCCTTCTCCTGCCTAATTGCCCTGGCCAGAACTTCCAACACTATGTTGAATAGGAGTGGTGAGAGAGGGCATCCCTTTCTTGTGCCCATTTTCAAAGGGAATGCTTCCAGTTGTTGCCCATTCAGTATGATATTGGCTGTGAGTTTGTCATAGATAGCTCTTATTATTTTGAGATATGTCCCAACAATACCTAATTTATTGAGAGTTTTTAGCATGAAGGTTGTTGAATTTTGTCAGAGGTCTTTTCTGCATCTGTTGAGATAATCATGTGGTTTTTGTCTTTGGTTCTGTTTATATGCTGGATTACATTTATTGATTTGCCTATATTGAACCAGCCTTGCATCCCAGGGATGAAGCCCAGTTGATCATGGTGGATAAGCTTTTTGATGTGCTGCTGGATTCGGTTTGCCAGTATTTTATTGAGGATTTTTGCATCAATGTTCATCAAGGATATTGGTCTAAAATTCTCTTGTTTGGTTGTGTCTCTGCCCGGCTTTGGTATCAGGATGATGCTGGCCTCATAAAATGAGTTAGGGAGGATTCCCTCTTTTTCTATTGATTGGAATAGTTTCAGAAGGAATGGTACCAGTTCCTCCTTGTACCTCTGGTAGAATTCGGCTGTGAATCCATCTGGTCCTGGACTCTTTTTGGATGGTAAGCTATTGAGTATTGCCACAATTTCAGCTCCTGCTATTGGTCTATTCAGAGATTCAACTTCTTCCTGGTTTAGTCTTGGGAGAGTGTATGTTTCGAGGAATTAATCCATTTCTTCTGATTTTCTAGTTTATTTGAGTAGAGGTGTTTGTAGTATTCTCTGATGGTAGTTTGTATTTCTGTGGGATCGGTGGTGATATCCCCTTTATCATTTTTTATTGCGTCTATTTGATTCTTCTCTCTTTTTTTCTTTATTAGTCTTGCTAGCGGTCTATCAATTTTGTTGATCCTTTCAAAAAACCAGCTCCTGGATTCGTTAATTTTTTCAAGGGTTTTTTGTGTCTCTATTTCCTTCAGTTCTGCTCTGATTTTAGTTATTTCTTGCCTTCTGCTAGCTTTTGAATGTGTTTGCTCTTGCTTTTCTAGTTCTTTTAATTGTGATATTAGGGTGTCAATTTTGGATCTTTCCTGCTTTCTCCTGTGGGCATTTAGTGCTATAAATTTCCCTCTACACACTGCTTTGAATGTGTCCCAGAGATTCTGATATGTGGTGTCTTTGTTCTCGCTGGTGTCAAAGAACATCTTTATTTCTGCCTTCATTTCGTTATGTACCCAGTAGTCATTCAGGAGCAGGTTGTTCAGTTTCCATGTAGTTGAGCGGTTTTGAGTGAGATTCTTAATCCTGAGTTCTAGTTTGATTGCACTGTGGTCTGAGAGATAGTTTGTTATAATTTCTGTTCTTTTACATTTGCTGAGGAGAGCTTTACTTCCAACTATTAGGTCAATTTTGGAATAGGTGTGGTGTGGTGCTGAAAAAAATGTATATTCTGTTGATTTGGGATGGAGAGTTCTGTAGATGTTTATTAGGTCCGCTTGGTGCAGGGCTGAGTTCAATTCCTGGGTATCCTTGTTGACTTTCTGTCTTGTTGATCTGTCTAATGTTGACAGTGGGGTGTTAAAGTCTCCCATTATTATTGTGTGGGAGTCTAAGTCTCTTTGTAGGTCACTCAAGACTTACTTTATGAATCTGGGTGCTCCTGTATTGGGTGCATATATATTTAGGATAGTTAGCTCTTCTTGTTGAATTGATCCCTTTAAAATTATGTAATGGCCTTCTTTGTCTCCTTTGATCTTTGTTGGTTTGAAGTCTGTTTTATCAGAGACTAGGATTGCAACCCCTGCCTTTTTTTTGTTTTCCATTTGCTTGGTAGATCTTCCTCCATCCTTTTATTCTGAGCCTATGTGTGTCTCTGCCCGTGAGATGGGTTTCCTGAATACAGCACACTGATGGGTCTTGACTCTTTATCCAATTTGCCAGTCTGTGTCTTTTAATTGGAGCATTTAGTCCATTTACATTTAAAGTTAATATTGTTATGTGTGAATTTGATCCTGTCATTATGATGTTAGCTGGTTCTTTTGCTTGTTAGTTGATGCAGTTTCTTCCTAGTCTCGATGGTCTTTACATTTTGGCATGATTTTGCAGCGGCTGGTACCGGTTGTTCCTTTCCATGTTTAGCGCTTCCTTCAGGAGCTCTTTTAGGGCGGGCCTGGTGGTGACAAAATCTCTCAGCATTTGCTTGTCTGTGAAGTATTTTATTTCTCCTTCACTTATGAAGCTTAGTTTGGCTGGATATGAAATTCTGGGCTGAAAATTCTTTTCTTTAAGAATGTTGAATATTGGCCCCCACTCTCTTCTGGCTTGTAGAGTTTCTGCCGAGAAATCTGCTGTTATTCTGATGGGCTTCCCTTTGAGGGTAATCCGACCTTTCTCTCTGGCTGCCCTTAACATTTTTTCCTTCATTTCAACTTTAGTGAATCTGACAGTGATGTGTCTTGGAGTTGCTCTTCTCGAGGAGTATCTTTGTGGCATTCTCTGTATTTCCTGAATCTGAATGTTGGCCTGCCTTGCTAGATTGGGGAAGTTCTCCTGGATAATATCCTGCAGAGTGTTTTCCAACTTGGTTCCATTCTCCCCATAACTTTCAGGTACACCAATCAGACGTAGATTTGGTATTTTCACATAGTCCCATATTTCTTGGAGGCTTTGCTCGTTTCTTTTTATTCTTTTTTGTCTAAACTTCCCTTCTCGCTTCATTTCATTCATTTCATCTTCCATCGCTGATACCCTTTCTTCCAGTTGATCACATCGGCTCCTGAGGCTTCTGCATTCTTCACGTAGTTCTCAAGCCTTGGTTTTCAGCTCCATCAGCTCCTTTAAGCACTTCTCTGTATTGGTTATTCTAGTTATACATTCTTCTAAATTTTTTTCAAAGTTTTCAACTTCTTTGCCTTTGGTTTGAATGTCCTCCCATAGCTCGGAGTAATTTGATCATCTGAAGCCTTCTTCTCTCAACTCGTCAAAGTCATTCTCCGTCCAGCTTTGTTCCGTTGCTGGTGAGGAACTGCGTTCCTCTGGAGGAGGAGAGGCGCTCTGCTTTTTAGAGTTTCCAGTTTTTCTGCTGTTTTTTCCCCATCTTTGTGGTTTTATCTACTTTTGGTCTTTGATGATGCTGATGTACAGATGGGTTTTTGGTGTGGATGTCCTTTCTGTTTGTTAGTTTTCCTTCTAACAGACAGGACCCTCAGCTGCAGGTCTGTTGGAGTACCTGGCCGTGTGAGGTGTCAGTCTGCCCCTGCTAGGGGGTGCCTCCCAGTTAGGCTGCTGGAGGGTCAGGGGGTCAGGGACCCACTTGAGGAGGCAGTCTGCCTGTCTCAGATCTCCAGCTGCGTGCTGGGAGAACCACTGCTCTCTCCAAAGCTGTCAGACAGGGACATTTAAGTCTGCAGAGGTTACTGCTGTCTTTTTGTTTGTCTGTGCCCTGCCCCCAGAGGTGGAGCCTACAGATGCAGGCAGGCCTCCTTGAGCTGTGGTGGGCTCCACCCAGTTGGAGCTTCCTGGCTACTTTGTTTACCTAAGCAAGCCTGGGCAATGGCGGGCGCCCCTCCCCCAGCCTGGCTGCCGCCTTGCAGTTTGACCTCAGACTGCTGTGCTAGCAGTCAGCGAGACTCCGTGGGCGTAGGACTTTCTGAGCCAGGTGCGGGATATAATCTGCTGGTGTGCCGTTTTTTAAACCCATCGGAAAAGCGCAGTATTCAGGTGGGAGTGACCCGATTTTCCAGGTGCCGTTTGTCACCACTTTCCTTGACTAGGAAAGGGAACTCCCTGACCCCTTGCACTTCTTGAGTGAGGCAATGCCTCGCCCTGCTTTGGCTCGTGCACAGTGCGTGCACTCACTGACCTGCGCCCACTGTCTGGCACTCGCTAGTGAGATGAACCCGGTACCTCAGATGGAAATGCAGAAATCACCCGTCTTCTGCGTCGCTTAGGCTGGGAGCTGTAGACCGGAGCTGTTCCTATTCGGCCATCTTGGCTCCTAAATGTGAGGTTCTGTGCCTTTCTATTATTGTACCCAATTTTAATTTATTGGAATATGGAATGTGAAGACTTGAGCCAAAATGTTTTTACTGGGATAGTAACTAAAGATGAGAGAAAAGCAAAATGAAAAGAAGGTTTAACTGTCACACTGCTGAGAGCTATTTAGCTCTTCACTGGTTATTCCTATATTTCTTCTGCTTGAGAGACATTATACATCTATCTTGTTTATGCTACTATTATTTTAAGAGGTATGCCATAGTCAGGTGGACCTTGTTCTAACAGATATATTTATACATATATATATACACACACACACACACACACACAAACACACACTGTATATATATGTATATTTATGTTTGTATATGTATATATACATACATATATCTAAGTACATAAACACACATACATTTACATAAATATACATGTTTTATGAGGGCAAAATCTTTGTATCCCTCAAAGTACAGGCAGAATGTTTGTCGATTAGAGTTATTTGGCTTTTGCCTCATGATGCAAGATCAGAACATCAAAAGAAAAAATAAGCATTGCAGACCCAGACACAGTGTGTCTTTTACTGGGTTTGTTATTGGGTTATTAACTTTTAAGTGTACATAATTATTATTATTATTATTATTATTATTATTATTATACTTCAGGTTTTAGGGTACATGTGCGCAATGTGCAGGTTTGTTACATAAGTATACATGTGCCATGTTGCTGTGCTGCACCCATTAACACGTCATTTAGCATTAAGTATATCACCTAATGCTATCCCTCCGCCCTCCCCCCGCCCCACGACAGGCCCCAGTGTGTGATGTTCCCCTTCCTGTGTCCATGTGTTCTCATTGTTCAATTCCCACCTATGAGTGAAAACATGCAGTGTTTGGTTTGTTGTCCTTGCAATCGTTTGCTGAGAATGATGGTTTCCAGCTTCATCCATGTCCCTACAAAGGACATGAACTCATCATTTTTTATGGCTGCTTAGTATTCCATGGTGTGTATGTGCCACATTTTCTTAATCCAGTCTATCATTGTTGGACATTTGGGTTGGTTCCAAGTCTTTGCTATTGTGAATAGTGCTGCAATAAACATACGTGTGCATGTGTCTTTATAGCAGCATGATTTATAATCCTTTGGGTATATACCCAGTAATGGGATGGCTGGGTCAAATGGTATTTCTAGTTCTAGATCCCTGAGGAATCGCCACACCGACTTCCACAGTGGTTGAACTAATTTTACTCATCTATAGGTTGAGGTTAATGTTGTCATCTATGTAAAAGTACTTCCATGAAGATTAAATGAGATAGATAGTATTGTATAATTTTTAAGAATAAAGTAAAATCAAGCAGCCTCATTTGAATTTTACATGCATCTACTTGCCCATTGCACAATGTTAGGTTATGAAAGCTTCCAGAGTATTCGTATCTTCATTTAATAAAAGTATAATACATACTTCAAAATGCTGTGAAGAATAAGTGAGACAATGTATAAAGAGCACTTACAACAGTTCTTCAAATACATTAAAATATCAATACATAGTAGTTTGATAATTTTATTTTTGAAAAGTTGTTTCGAAGAATTGATTTCTGCTTATAATGTTCCCAGAACATAACTTAGTTTATAGTAAGTTTTTAGTTAATGGATTCTACTTTTGTTCTATTTTATTCACATTTGTGTGATCAGATATTTGGTGATCACGGATCAAGCTCTAAAACATTATGTACTTTAAGCCTTGGCTGGGCGGAGAGGCTCATGCCTGTAATCCCAGCACTTTGAGAGGCTGAGGTGGGTGGATCATGAGGTCAAGAGGTAGAGACCATCCTGGCCTACATGGTGAAACCCCGTCTCTACTAAAAATACAAAAATTAGCTGGGCGTGGTGGCACGTGCCTGTAATCCCAGCTACTAGGGAGGCTGAGGCAGGAGAATTGCTTCAACCCGGGAGGCGGTGGTTTGCAGTGAGCCGGGATCGTGCCACTGCACTCCAAACTGGAGACAGAGTGAGACTCTGTCTCAAAAAAAAAAAAAAAAAGGGGGGGACATATATTTTTTAAAAAACTTTTTTGAAGTTTTGAATTGCAAAGATAGTTTACAGAGTTCCATTTATACTGCACCGAATTTCCTCTCTACGTAATATCTTAACATTTATCCAGGATCCCATGCGAGTTACCATATGACATTTACTAATTGTATCTCCTTAGGCTCTTCTTGGCTGTGACAGTTTCTCAGTCATTCCCTATTTTTAATGATATAGTTTTGAGGTGTGCTGCTCAGGTATTTGCAGAATGTGCCTTAATTGGGATTTGTCTGGTGTTCCTCTCTTGTTAAAAGTGAGGTTATGTGTTTTGGGGAGGAAGATGTGAGAGACACACTGTCATTTTTATCACATCATATTAAGGGTACATACTCTTAACACGACATCACTGCCGATGTGAAACCTGATCATTTCATTGAGGTAGTGTTTATCAGGTCTTTCTATTGTAAAATTATTCTTTTTTTCTCTTCCCCTACTGTGTGGCTTGGAAATCATTATTTCTAACTTGCTGGGATGTTATTTTATCTAAACTCTCTCAGCTGGCAGAGCAAGAAAATGCAAGTAGCAATATATAAATATCTACAAATATTTCAAATGCAATATTATGTATCTATAGTAAGTTAAACCGTAGCACATACCGATGTCCTTAACTGTAATCAAGGACCACATGGATCATTCTAACTTCCTCTTGCTTAACTATAAACTCCCACTACAATAGGGAGAACAGGCTTCCACCATTCTTTTACTTAATTGCTCAGATCTAGTATGCATGAGTGGTACTGTCTGAATTAACACACAATCCTGTGGTAAAGAACGTATCATATAGTATATACACAATGCTTATTTATACTCACTTTTTCCTGTGGTCTCACAGACACCCCACAATTCAGAATTTATTTATGGCAGCATCTTTTTCCCTACTTCCTTCAGTGATATTACTTCATACATTTGTAATACAGTTATATTGTTTTGTCACATTCTGTGTGCCATCCTAGGATCCTTGACCCTCTAAATTATTATGATATTTTACTTTACATACATTAAGTTTCACTCTGTTACAAAGTTCTATATAATTTAACAAATGCATAGATTTTTGCATTGAGTCGTCTTCGTCCCCTAAGTATTCTTAGTTGAATGCTTGGTGTTTTATTATTAAATATTTTGCTTTTATCTAACCCAATAAACTATGTTTCCTTTGAACAATAACTACATTTTATACCACATAGTAATAATTCTGGATGCAGAGTTTCTGTACAGAGTTTAAGATACATTACTATTTTCCTTGGAAAAATCTTTAGTCCTCTTAGTCTGCTTTGTTGCCTGCAGCACTGACCAATCCTTCAAATTTTGAGGCAAACCAAAAAAGTCTCATAACATATTTTTTTAGCTGTGTAACTGTAAATCAGATTAAATAAGATATTTTTCCAATTGATAGATTGTAATGGTGGGAATTTTACAAAAAATATGTAGAAAGCAAACCCAGAATATTTCTAATAAATAATCTCGGTGTAGTTATAGCTTACCTTATTTAATATTCTTATGAAAGTCTACTGTTAATAATTTTTTCTTTCTTTTTTATTGTGGTAAAATGCATATAACAAAATTTATCATTTTAGCCATTTCTAATTGTATAGTTCAGTGGTATTAAATATATTCATAATATTGTGCAACCATGACCACCATCCATTTCCATAACTGTTTTCATCTTGTAAAATTTAAACTCTATACCCATTAAACATAAATCCCTGTTCTCCCCCATTGCCCCTGCCAGTCCCTGGCAACCATCATTCTATTTTCTGTCTTTTTGATTTTGACTACTCTCAGTACCTCATGTAAGTGGTATCATACGTTGTCTTTTTGTAACTGGCTTATTTCACTTAGTGTAATGTCCTCAAGGTTTATTCCTGTTGTAGCATTATGTCAGAATTTTATTCCTTTTTAAAGCTGAATAATATTTCATGTGTATATACAATATTGTGTTTATCCATCCATCCATCGATGGACACTTGAATTATTTCCACATTTTAGTTACGTGAATAATGCGCTCAGAACATAGGAGTACAAATATCTCTTTGAGACTCTAATTTTGATTCTTGTGGATATACACCTAGCAGTGAAATTGATCAATTATATTATAATAGCATTTCTAATTGTATAAGGAACTGTCATACTGTTTTCCACTGTGGCTTCAATGTTTTACATTCCCACACAAAGTGCAAAAGTGTTCCAAATTCTCTACATCCTCATCCTCACCAAAACTTGTTATTTTCTGCTTTTTTTCATACTAGATATTCTAATGGGTGTGACGTGGTATCTCTTTGTAGTTTTGACTTGCATTTCCCTAATAATTAGTGATGTAGAGCATCTTGTTATGTACGTATTGGCCATTTGTAAATTTTTTGGAGAAAAGTCTATTCAAGTCATTTTCCTATGTTTGAATTGAGTTGTTTGGCTTTTGTTTTTCCTGAGTTTCAGGAGCCCTCTATGTATTCTGGATATTAATCGCTTACTAGATATATGATTTGCAAATATGTTTTACCATTCTGTGGGGTGTTGTGTAACTCTGTTGATATTGTCCTTTGATACACATATTTTTAAAAAATTACGTGGTTAAAATTTGACTATTTCTTCTTTTGTTGCCTGTGTCTTTGGTGTCATCTCCAAGAAACTGCCAAATCCAAAGTCATACAGTTTTGTTCTATATTTCATTCTAACTGTTTTATAGTTTTAGACCTTACATTTATTCTTTTGATTCCATTTGAGTTAATTCTTATATGTAGTACAAGGTAAAGGACAACTTCATTCTTTTGCTTGTGGATATTAATTTTTTGCCACACTATGTTAAAAAGATTGTCCTTTCCTCATGAAATGATCTTAGCATCCTTGTCAAAAATCATTTGACCATATATGTAAGGGTTTATTTCAGGGCTTTCTATTCTATTTCACTGATTTATGTGGCTGTCTTTATGCCAGTACCACACATTTCTGAATACTTAGCTTTGTAATAAATTTTGAAATCAAGAAGGGTGGGTCTTATTACTTTCTTCATGTTTCAAAATTGATTTTGCCATTCGGCATCCCTTGATATCCCATATGAATTTGAAGATGGGTTTTTCTGTTTCTGCAAAGTCATTTGGATTTTAATAGGAATTGCATTTAATCTGTAAATTGATTTGGGTAGCATTGATAAAATGATATTAAGCCTTCCAATCCATAAACATGGGATGAGTTTCTATTTCTGTGCCTTCTTTAATTTATGTCGCCAATGTTTTGTAGTTTTCATTAAACAAGATTTCGTCTCATTGATTAATTCCTAAGTATTTTATTCTTTGTGATGCTATTATAGAAAATAGAAGCTTTTCTTTATTTCTTTCCAGGTTGTATGATGATAGTGTATAGAAACGAAACTGAATTTTGTGCATTGACTTTGTATCCTGCTACTTTGGTGAATTCATTTATTATTTCTTACAGTTTGCGTGTGTGTGTGTGTGTGTGTGTGTGTGTGTGTGTCTGTGTGTGAAATCTTTAGTGTTTTGCATGTAGCTAATCGTACCATCTGTGAAGAGATAATTGTACTTTTTACTTCCAAATTAAATGCCTTTATTACTTTTTCTTGCCTAATTTCTCTGGCTAGAATGTATAGTACTCCGTTGAACCAGAGTGGCAAAAGTTAAACGTTTGCTTTGTTTTTGAACTTAGAAAAAAAAAGCTTTCACTTCCTTTAGCATGATGATTGCTATGGATTTTTTATATATATATCTTTTATTACATTGAGGTTCTTTCCATTTGTTCCTTGTTTGATGAGGGTTTTTGTCATGGAAGAATGTTGAATTTTGTCAAATGCATTTACTGCATCAATTGAGACGATCATGTGGTTTATTCCCACCACTTAATCAATATGGTGTATTATATCAATTGATTTTCATACATTGTCATTGTTGCATTCCAGAAATAAATACCATTTAGTCATGTTGTTTTGTTTTGTTGTGTTGTGTTTCGAGGCAGAGTCTCACTCGGTTGCCCAGGCTGGAGTGCAGTGGTGCGATCTCGGCTCACTGCAACCTCTGCCTCCTGGGTTCAAACAATTTTCCTACCTCAGCCTCCCAAGTAGCTGGGATTACAGGCGCCCACCACCACACCCAGCTAATTTTTTGTATTTTTAGTAGAGATGAGGTTTCACCATGTTGGCCAGGCTGGTTTCGAACCCCTGACCTCAAGTGATCCACCTGCCTTGTCCTCCCAAGGTGCTAGGAATACAGGCATGAGCCACCACACCAGCCTACTCATGGTTTATAATCACTTTAATGTAGTGCTAAATTCAGACTGCTAGCATTTTGTTGGGGATTTTTCCATCAATGTTCGGAAGAGCTATTAGTCTGTACTTTTCTTGTAGTGTCTAGGTCTGGTTTTGGTATTGAGGTAATGCAGACTTCATAGGATAAGGAAGTGTTTCCTTTGCTCTTTGCTACTGCTTCTTCTTTTCTCCTTCTTTTTTTTTTTTTTTTTTGTAAATGTTCAAGAAAAATTGGTGTTCAATTATCTTTAAATATTTGGTAGAATTCACTTGTAAAGCCAACAGGTCCTGGCCCTTTGTTGGGAGAGTTTTGATTACTGATTCAATCTCCTTACTAGTTTTAGCTTTATTCAGATATTTCATTTTTTCTGAATTAGTCTTTGTAGCTTTTGTGTTTCTAGAAGTTTGTCTATTTTATCTAGGTTATCCAATTTCTTAGTGTACAATTTGTTCACAGTACTCTCTTATAATCCTTAATATTTCTGTAGAATAGGTAGTAATGTACCCACTTTGATTTCTGATTTTAGTCACTCGAATAGTCATTCTTTTTTTCTTATCTAGCTAAAGGTTTAGCAATTTTATTGAACCTTTTAAAGAACTACCTTTTGGTTTCATTGATTTTCTCTATTGTTTCTCTATCCTCAATTTCATTTATCTCTGTTCTAATCTTTCTTATTTCCTTCTTTCTATTACCTTTGGAATTCTTTTTTTTTTTTTTTTTAGTTTTGCAAGTTGTAAATCAGGTTTTCGATTCTAGATCTTTCTTGTTTTTTAATGTAAGCATGTATAACTATAAATTTCACCCTGCATACTGTTTTTGCTCTGTTCTGTGTTTCAGTGTGCTATGTTTTCATTTTAATTCATCTCTAAGTATTTTCTAATTTTCCTGTGAATTACTGGATCCATTGGCAATGTGTAAGAGTATGTTTCTTAAATTTTGTAAATTTTTAAGATTTACTACTGCTATTGATTTCTAACTTAATCCCATTTTGGTTAGAAAAGATACTGTATAATAACTATCTATTGAGACTTCATATTTGGCCTAACATATGGTTAATCCTAGAAAATGTTCCATGTGCCCGATGTAACAGTGTAGGCTGTTGTTGACTGAATAATCTGTATATGTCTGTTAGATTTACTGGTTTTAGTACTCTACTTGCTTACTTATGTCTGGTTGTTCTATCCATTATTGAAAGTGGGATTTTGCAATTTCCAGCTATCATTGAACAACTGCCTGAAGTTTCTCCCTTTAATTTTGTCAATTTGATATATTTTGATAGTCTATATTAGGTATATAAATGTTTATAATTGTTCTATTTTCTTGTTATATAGAACTTTTTATTATTGCATAATATCCTTCTTTGTCTCCTGTAAGCTTTTTTGATGAAAGTCTATTTTGTCTTCTATTAATATAGCCACTCCTGCTCCCTTTTATTTACCATTTGCATGTTATATAATTTTCCGTTCTTTCACTTTCGTTATATTTGTGTCATTGAATATAAAGTGAGTCACCTGTAGACAGCGTATAGTTTTATGAAGGTTGTTTAAATCCATTCTGCCAATTTGTGTCTTTCATTTGAAGAGTGTAATACATTTTCTGCCAAGTAATTACTGAAAAATTGAGTCTTAATTTTGTTACTTTTCTTTTTGTTATTTATATGCCTAATTGCTTTTTGGATCCTCGTTTCCTGCATTACTGTCAGCTATTGTGTTTATTTGTATTGTGGAGTAAAATATTTAAATTCATGTATGAGATCTTTTTGTATAGTATACTTTTTGTAGTTACCATGAAATTAAATTTAGACTCTTAAAATTGTAATATTCCAATTAAAATTTATTTATATTAACTTTAATAGCATACAAAAACTCTGCTCCTTTAAAAGCTTCATCTCCACCCGTTTTGAAAATTGATATCAAACATTAAGTTTATACATTGTGTGCCCCAAAATATATACTAATGATTATTTTAAATGCATTTTTCTATTAAATTATAAACAAAAAACTGTTGAGTTAGAAGCCAAAGTTATAAGAGTTCTAGCTTTTATAATTGCCCATGTGTTTACCTTTATTAAGATCTAAAATTTTTCACATGGCTTCAAGTTACTATCAGCTGTGATTTCATTTTTGCCTTGTAGAAATCCCTTAAACATTTCTTGAATGACAGGTCTAATGGTAACAAGCTTCCTCAGCTTTTGTTTGTCTGAGAACATCCTGATTTCTTCCTTAATTTTGAAGAACAGATTTGCTATACATAGGATTATTGGTTGACAGTTCTTTTTTTTTTTTAATTAACTCGGAGTATATTAGCCCACTGTCTTCTAGTCTCCAAAGTTACTAAGAAGTCTCTTGATAGGCCGGGCATGATGGCTCATGCCTGTAATCCCAGCCCAATTATTTGGCAATGTGTAAGAGTATGTTTCTTAAACTTCGTAAATTTTTAAGTTTACAAAAATTGGGAGGCCAAGGTGGGTGGATCACCTGAGTTCAGAAGTTCAAAACCAGCCTGGCCAACATGGTGAAACCCTGTCTCAAATAAAAATACCAAAATTAGCTGGGCATGGTTTTGGGAGCCTGTAATCCCAGCTACTCAGGAGGCTGAGGCAGGAGAATCATTTGAACCCAGGAGGCAGAGGTTGCAGTGAGCTGAGATCACGCCACTGCATTCCCGCCTGGGCAACAAGAGCGAAACTCCATCTTCAAAAAAAAAAAAGAAGAAAGAAATCTGTTGATAATATTACTGAAGAGTATTCATACGTAAAAAATCACTTTTCTCTTGCAACTTTCAAGATTATATCTTTATCTTTCAAAAGTTCAATTACAATTTGTCTTTTCATGGGTGTCTTTGAGTTCATCTTATTTTTTAGGAGGTTTATATTCATGTTTTTCATCAAACTGGAAAGTTTCCAGCCATTATTTTTTATAAATATTCTCTCTTATCATTTCTCTTTTCATTTCTCTTCTAAGACTCCCAAAATACATATGTTGATCGGCTTCATGGTGTCCCATAGGTCATTTAGGCTCTGGTAACTTTTCTTCAATCTTTTTTTTCTGTTCCTCAGACCCAATACTTTACATTATCTTATCTTCAAGTTCACTAATTTTTTTTTTGGCTTACTCAAAATTGCCTTTGAATTCCTTTAATGAATGTTTTTATTTCAAATATTGCAATTATAAGTTTTAGAATTTCTTTTTGGTTTATTTTTAAGATTTCTTTTTATTAATATTTCTAATTTATTGTTGTTTCTTGTTTATTATTATAAATGTGTTCCCCACATTTTTCTTTAGTTCTTCAAACATCTTTAAGAAAGTTATTTTCAAGTCTTTGTTTGGTAGATCTATCATTTTCAGAGGCAGTTTTTATTGATTTTTTTTTCATTTTAATGGGCCATACTTTCTATTCTCTTCAAATGCCTTGTAATTTTTTCTCAAAAAATGAATATTTGAACCTACTAAGTTTTATACTGTGGAAATCGGATTCTCCCCCTTACCTAGGGTATGTTGTTCTTTGTAATTGCTTTTACTTATTTATTATTGTTGTTGTTTTTTAAAAATATTTTCTAGAATGTCTGTGCCAATAATCAGTCTGAATTATAAATTTAGGGTGTTTGTAGGTCTTTTAAGAACCTGCACTTTTCTCTGGGCACACACAATCACTTTTTAATTTCCTTATATAAAAGTATACTTAAATTATTGTGCTTTAATCTCTGGTTACCAAAAGGGGGGAAAGAGAAAATACAAGAGTGAAGAAATGGTCACTGAGTCATTAAATCTCTCTGGAAGTCACTTTAGAAAAAGGGGGCCGTGTTTGCTACAATGGAGGAAGGTAAAACAGCAATGACTGCCAGCCCCTTTGTGTGCATCTCTGTGATAAGACATGGAAACCAATTATTAGAGCAAAGATCTCTAATATTTGGAAGACAGAGTCCTTTTTTTGCCAATCCTGGCTTCTGAAAGCTGTGTTCAGGTGGCCCTGGGAACAAGTGTACAACTGCCTGTCATAAGGCAGAGGGTGGGGATGAGTAACTGTTACTGTGCTAAGAGCTGAAATTGAAAATAAATAAATAAGTAAATAAATAAATAAATAACTGCAACTTACCATCCAAGCCCTGCCCTGGAAGTTGGAAGGCTTCAATAGACTCCAGAGTTCCAAAATTGTTACATAAGACACATTATGCCAATGCAATTGATTACATGGTGGTACAGATTCCTGAGTCTTCCTACTCCATCATCTTTACAGCCTACTGTGAATAATTTTTAAATAAAATATATTTTGAAAATTGCCTCTTAAAATATTTCTACTGAATATTATTGTGGACTATAAGACTATCTTTTACATAGATACAGTTTTATATATCAAGTGTACTTAGCAAAATGCAAAATTATAATCTTTTAAAAGGTGCACTTAAGCTGACATAAAACCATTATTAAAACTAATTGGATAATAATTATAAAAAGAAAAAGTTTTTTAAAAATCAGTCTAACAAAAATATGTTTCTCAGAAATATGTTTACAAAACTAATAAATTTTAAAAAATATTATTGTCAGTTTATTGATTTACCACCAAATATTCTGGGAAATCAGTTTAAAAATAAATATATGAATTCCACAAAACAAATCTATGGAATTGGTATCTAGGAATTATTTCTCTCTAGTTTATTAAATACGTACTGAGAAATTACTAATATGTTAGATACATGTTCCAATCCTAGTAACACTATAAGTCTCACCCCCTCTTACTTTTCCTCTCCCACCTCAGATTTCAGCCCTGGAGAACATTAGACTTGATCGGGTAAAGAACGTACAGGACACAACGGAAACGTAGGCCTAGAATTTCTTTTTCTTTTTTTTTTCCAGGAATATCTTTTTATTTTATTTTATTTTATTATCATTATACTTTAAGTTTTAGGGTACGTGTGCACAATGTGCAGGTTACTTACATATGTATACATGTGCCATGCTGGTGTGCTGCACCCATTAACTCGTCATTTAGCATTAGGTATATCTCCTAAAGCTATCCCTCCCCCCTCCCCCCACCCACAACAGTCCCCAGAGTGTGATGTTCCCCTTCCTGTGTCCATGTGTTCTCATTGTTCAATTCCCACCTATGAGTGAGAATATATGGTGTTTGTTTTTTGTTCTTGCGATAGTTTACTGAGAATGATGATTTCCAATTTCATCCATGTCCCTACAAAGGACATGAACTCATCATCTTTTATGGCTGCATAGTATTCCATGGTGTATATGTGCCACATTTTCTTAATCCAGTCTATCATTGTTGGACATTTGGGTTGGTTCCAAGTCTTTGCTATTGTGAATAGTGCTGCAATAAACATACATGTGCATGTGTCTTTATAGCAGCATGATTTATAGTCCTTTGGGTATATAGCCAGTAATGGGATGGCTGGGTCAAATGGTATTTCTAGTTCTAGATCCCTGAGGAATCGCCACACTGACTTCCACAATGGTTGAACTAATTTACAGTCACACCAACAGTGTAAAAGTGTTCCTATTTCTCCACATCCTCTCCAGCACCTGTTGTTTCCTAACTTTTTAATGATGGCCATTCTAACAGGTGTGAGATGGTATCTCATTGTGGTTTTGATTTGCATTTCTCTGATGGCCAGTGATGGTGAGCATTTTTTCATGTGTTTTTTGGCTGCATAAATGTCTTCTTTTGAGAAGTGTCTGTTCATGTCCTTTGCCCACTTTTTGATGGGGTTGTTTGTTTTTTTCTTGTAAATTTGTTTGAGTTCATTGTAGATTCTGGATATTAGCCCTTTGTCAGATGAGTAGGTTGTGAAAATTTTCTCCCATTTTGTAGGTTGCCTGTTCACTCTGACGGTAGTTTTTTTTGCTGTGCAGAAGCTCTTTAGTTTAATTAGATCCCATTTGTCAATTTTGGCTTTTGTTGCCATTGCTTTTGGTGTTTTAGACATGAAGTCCTTGCCCATGCCTATGTCCTGAATGGTATTGCCTAGGTTTTCTTCTAGGGTTTTTGTGGTTTGAGGTCTAACGTTTAAGTCTTTAATCCATCTTGCATTAATTTTTTATAAGGTGTAAGGGAGGGATCCAGTTTCAGCTTTCTACATATGGCTAGCCAGTTTTCCCAGCACCATTTATTAAATAGGGAATCCTTTCCCCATTGCTTGTTTTTCTCAGGTTTGTCAAAGATCAGATAGTTGTAGATATGCGGCATTATTTCTGAGGGCTCTGTTCTGTTCCATTGATCTATATCTCTGTTTTGGTACCAGTACCATGCTGTTTTGATTACTGTAGCCTTGTAGTATAGTTTGAAGTCAGGTAGTGTGATGCCTCCAGCTTTGTTCTTTTGGCTTAGGATTGACTTGGCAATGCGGGCTCTTTTTTGGTTCCATATGAACTTTAAAGTAGTTTTTTCCAATTCTGTGAAGAAAGTCATTGGTAGCTTGATGGAGATGGCATTGAATCTGTAAATTACCTTGGGCAGTATGGCCATTTTCACGATATTGATTCTTCCTACCTATGAGCATGGAATGTTCTTCCATTTGTTTGTATCCTCTTTTATTTCCTTGAGCAGTGGTTTGTAGTTCTCCTTGAAGAGGTCCTTCACGTCTCTTGTAAGTTGGATTCCTAGGTATTTTATTCTCTTTGAAGCAATTGTGAATGGGAGTTCACTCATGATTTGGCTCTCTGTTTGTCTGTTATTGGTGTATAAGAATGCTTGTGATTTTTGTACATTGATTTTGTATCCTGTATCCTGAGACTTTGCTGAAGTTGCCTATCAGCTCAAGGAGATTTTGGGCTGAGACAATGGGGTTTTCTAGATATACAATCATGTCATCTGCAAACAGGGACAATTTGACTTCCTCTTTTCCTAATTGAATACCCTTTATTTCCTTCTCCTGCCTGATTGCCCTGGCCAGAGCTTCCAACACTATGTTGAATAGGAGTGGTGAGTGAGGGCATCCCTGTCTTGTGCCAGTTTTCAAAGGGAATGCTTCCAGTTTTTGCCCATTCAGTATGATATTGGCTGTAGGTTTGTCATAGATAGCTCTTACTATTTTGAGATACGTCCCATCAATACCTAATTTATTGAGAGTTTTTAGCATGAAGTGTTGAATTTTGTAAAAGGCCTTTTCTGCATCTATTGAGATAATCATGTGGTTTTTGTCTTTGGTTCTGTTTATATGCTGGATTACATTTATTGATTTGTGTATATTGGACCAGACTTGCATCCCAGGGATGAAGCCCACTTGATCATGGTGGATAAGCTTTTTGATGTGCTGCTGGATTCGGTTTGCCAGTATTTTATTGAGGATTTTTGCATCAATGTTCATCAAGGATATTGGTCTAAAATTCTCTTGTTTGGTTGTGTCTCTGCCCGGCTTTGGTATCAGGATGATGCTGGCCTCATAAAATGAGTTAGGGAGGATTCCCTCTTTTTCTATTGATTGGAATAGTTTCAGAAGGAATGGTACCAGTTCCTCCTTGTACCTCTGGTAGAATTCGGCTGTGAATCCATCTGGTCCTGGACTCTTTTTGGTTGGTAAGCTATTGAGTATTGCCACAATTTCAGCTCCTGCTATTGGTCTATTAAGAGATTCAACTTCTTCCTGGTTTAGTCTTGGGAGGGTGTATGTGTTGAGAAATTTATCCATTTCTTCTAGATTTTCTAGTTTATTTGCGTAGAGGTGTTTGTAGGATTCTCTGATGGTAGTTTGTATTTCTGTGGGATTGGTGGTGATATCCCCTTTATCATTTTTTATTGCATCTGTTTGATTCTTCTCTCTTTTCTTCTTTATTAGTCTTGCTAGCAGTCTATCAATTTTGTTGATCCTTTCAAAAAACCAGCTCCTGGATTCATTAATTTTATGAAGGGTTTTTTGTGTCTCTATTTCCTTCAGTTCTGCTCTGATTTTAGTTATTTCTTGCCTTCTGCTAGCTTTTGAATGTGTTTGCTCTTGCTTTTCTAGTTCTTTTAATCGTGATATTAGGGTGTCAATTTTGGATCTTTCCTGCTTTCTCTTGTGGGCATTTAGTGCTATAAATTTCCCTCTACACACTGCTTTGAATGTGTCCCAGAGATTCTGGTATGTTGTGTCTTTGTTCTCATTGGTTTCAAAGAACATCTTTATTTCTGCCTTTATTTCGTTATGTACCCAGTAGTCATTCAGGAGCAGGTTGTTCAGTTTCCATGTAGTTGAGCGGTTTTGAGTGAGTTTCTTAATCCTGAGTTCTTGTTTGATTGCACTGTGGTCTGAGAGACAGTTTGTTATAATGTCTGATCTTTTACATTTGCTGAGGAGAGCTCTACTTCCAACTATGTGGTCAATTTGGAATAGGTGTGGTGTGGTTCTGAAAAAAATGTATATTCTGTTGATTTGGGGTGGAGAATATTCAACATTCTTAAGGAAAAGAATTTTCAACCCAGAATTTCATATCCAGCCAAACTAAGCTCCATAACTGAAGGATAAATAAAATACTTTACAGACAAGCAAATGCTGAGAGATTTTGTCACCACCAGGCCTGCCCTAAAAGAGCTCCTGAAGGAAGCACTAAACATGGAAAGCAACAACTGGTACCAGCCGCTGCAAAATCATGCCAAATTTTAAAGACCATCGCGGCTAGGAAGAAACTGCATCAACTAACGAGCAAAAGAACCAGCTAACATCATAATGACAGGATCAAATTCACACATGACAATATTAACTTTAAATGTAAATGGACTAAATGCTCCAATTAAAAGACACAGACTGGCAAATTGGATAAAGAGTCAAGACCCATCAGTGTACTGTATTCAGGAAACCCATCTCACGTGCAGAGACACACATAGGCTCAAAATAAAAGGATGGAGGAAGATCTACCAAGCAAATGGAAAACAAAAAAAGGCAGGGGTTGCAATCCTAGTCTCTGATAAAACAGACTTTAAACCAACAAAGATCAAAAGAGACAAAGAAGGCCATTACATAACGGTAAAGGGATCAATTCAACAAGAAGAGCTAACTATCCTAAATATATATGCACCCAATACAGGAGCACCCAGATTCATAAAGTAAGTCCTGAGTGACCTACAAAGAGACTTAGACTCCCACACAATAATAATGGGAGACTTTAACACCCCACTGTCAATATTAGACAGATCAACGAGACAGAAAGTTAACAAGGATACCCAGGAATTGAACTCAGCCCTGCACCAAGCAGACCTAATAGACATCTACAGGCCTAGAATTTCTAAAGAAGGACTAAAGGAATTGTATGTTTGAATTTTTCTTCTACCACAGTTTTTGACACCATTCTGCATGGGAATTTTTTCCCTTGATAGTAATGTAATAAGAATTGAAATAAGACTATGCCATTTTTTTAAAAAGTACTTCTGGAGAGTCTCCTCTTTCTGGTATTTTTTTTTTTTTAAGATGGAGTCTCACTGTGTCACCCAGGATGGAGTGGCGTGATCTCAGTTTACTGCAACCTCCACCTCCCTGGTTCAAGGGATTCTCCTGCCTCAGCCTCCTGAGTAGCTGGGATTACAGGCATCCACCACCACACCCAGCTAATTTTTATATTTTGTAGTAGAGACAGGGTTTCACCATGTTGGCCAGGCTGGTCTCGAACTCCTGGCCTTAAGTGATCCACCTGCCTTGGCCTCCCAAAGTGCTGGCATTACAGGCGTGAGCCACCGTGCCTGGCTCCCATTTTGAACAGAGTAGAAGACAATGGAAATAATTTACTAAAGGAGGCAAGAGGAAAGCTGTCTAAACATTTTTATTTTTGGCTTTTTCTCTCTTTTTCTTTCAGTTGTAGTGGTGAAATGTGAAAATACAAGATCTATGAGATCTACCATAGTAATATTGTAAGCTATATAGTACATTAGTACATAAATATTTATGTGCAGGATAGTAATTGCGACTGAAATTTGGAGCTAGGATTCATAATGCATTCTAATACCAGAATTCAGAACTAGGATTCAAGTTTCTCAGTTGGAATTAGTTGATAATTAAAAGATTGAGATCCCAGTCATATATCATGTTTTCTTAAATTATGAATTATTATTCATCTTATAGAATTTTTTTTTTTTTGAGACAGGTTCTCACTCTGTCACCCAGGCTGGAGTGCTGTGGCATGATCTTCACTCACTGCAAACTCTGCTTCCTGGGTTCAAGCGATTCTCATGCCTTAGTCTCCGGAGTAGCTGGGACTATAGGCACGTGCCACCACGCTTGGCTAATTTTTTTTTTTTTTTTTTTTTTTTTTTTTCATAGAGACTGGGTTTCACCATGTTGGCCAGGATGGTCTCGATCTCCTGACCTTGTGATCCACCCACCTCAGCCTCCCAAAGTGCTGGGATTATGGGCATGAGCCACCACACCCAGCCTATGCATCTTTTAGAAAATTATAGTGTATAATAGACTAATATTTGTTTAACCATCATTCAACTTTATCAATTCTGATAATTCTTCCACATTTTCTTTTAGGTCATTTTCAAGAAATAAAATATTAATAAAACCATTGAAAACCAACTTATGCACCCCAATTTTACTTCTAAGTATTATTCTGCCAAATTTGCTTTTTATTGTACCCACACAAAAATACAATTTTATTACATGTCTATGTATTCCAAAATAAAATTATGTATACAATTATTTTTCAGAACTAAAGCTTTATGTAATCATTGCCATCCTGTATGGATATTTTCTATTTTGTAAATGCTACTTTATAATCCTTTTATAAAGTTGGCAGACATTTCCGTAAGTATTAAGAACACAGAAATCTGCACCGATTGTACAGGTTTAGCTTGATTTTTCTCACAGCAAATACACCCATGTAAACAGCACCTAAATCAATGAATACAATATTGCCATCCACAAAGGAGCTACATTTCTGTGTTCTCCAAATTTTTTCCATTTCACCCCTTGTCAACAGTAACCGATATCATGTTTCTAACACCATAGATTTCTTTTGACTCATTTTAAACATTAAATGAGTATACTCATCTCATATGTACTGTTTTTGTATCTTGAATTTTAACTGATATTGCACCGAACTGGAAGAATTAATGGAAGAGAATTGACTTTGTTACCATACTGACTGTTTCAAGCCATTAACATTTTCCCAGTTATCTATTGTGTTATACCAATCTACCCAACTTTAGTGGCTTAAGACAATACTTTATCTAGCTCATGAATTCAATTAGAGTAAGACTTTGTGAAGACAGCTTGTTTTTCTTCAGTGTGGCTTCAGCTGGGGCCACTTCCAAAATGGCTGGTTCACATGGCTGAAAAGTTGGTTGATGACTGTCAGGCCGGGGAATCAGTTGATGTTGTATCTGCATCTCTCCATGGAGATGCCTGCTTTTTCTCCCAATTTGGATGCTAAATTCCAATAGCAAGTGTTCCTTGAGAGGAGAAGTAGAAGCTGCTAGTCTCTTAAGGTCTGAGCCCCCAAACTGATAAAATGTTACTTTTGCCACATTGTGTTGCTCAAAGCATGAAGAGGAATAGACAAGACCTCTTTGTGGGAAAGGTATCTAATAATATGTGGCCATTTTATACTTTCATACAAATCTTTAACATATTTCTCCTAGGTATTTCATTTATTCCTAGGCATGTAATATTCTTAATGCTATCTATCATAAATGATACAATTTTTTAGAAAGTTGTATAAATGTTAGTTGCGATGTGTAGAAGTATAAATAATTTCTAAAATATTTGTCTCATCAGCTGTGCTAAATGTATTTATTAATTTGAATTGATTTTCTATATATTCTCTTTGAATTTTAACATATATAGTAATGTTATCTTTAAATAATTAGAATTTCATTTCTTCTTTTCCAGTCTCCATATAGATTTATTTGGATGTATAGGAAGACATATGTCAGTCACGTTTAAGCAATCATTCTCTACCTCAAAATCACAAAGGAGATTATTTCACTGACTCAGTCCTCAAGCACATTGTTAATAAGAAGCTGTGATAGGTGGCATGATTTACTCATTATGATCTCAGAAAGAAAGCTTTTGATATTTCATTATTACTTGTTTTTCTGTTTCTGTTTTTGTTTTTGTTCACTTGTTTATTTTAGGAGAAAGCTTTAACAGATTACATTTTCTTCTTTTGCTAGTTTGCTAAGAATTTTTGGAAAGAATTGGCGTTGAATTTGATCAAATCCTAAGTTTATTTTTCTTTTTGTGCTCAATTATTGATTTATTTCCATATTAACTGAGGCATATATTCACTTCTTGACCCTTTTTAAATTTTGTAGACAATTTCAAACCCATCCACATACTCCCCAGTGTTCACAAATTACCATGGAAAACATCTGTTGTAACCTCTCTCAGAGCCAAGCCCAAGAGAATGCATTTTCTTTGAAGTCCATCCTCCCAATCTAAATCTTATATTTTTAGAGTATTTCTCAAATGTGCCTGTCTTCTCTGAATCTGTCCACACATAAACCTAAGACACATAATTTATTAGCAACCTCCAGGCACAGAATTACCAAGTTGTCCCCAAAACAGCTGAAGACCTTAATATTCTCATTTCTTCTGGATTTCTTACTCCTGCTGTTTACCTGACCACAAAGAATTCTGTTTACTTTTTTGAAGGTCATTTAATTTTCCAAAATGGGTAGTTCTTGTTATTTTATTTTAAACATTTAGGTTTCTTTTGGAGGGAGGGATTTTTCAGCATCTCAAGTTTGTCAAGAAGATACATGGTTTCCCCAGCCCTTCTTGTTTCAATGTTTCAATTTCTTCTAAGTTATTTTCGTTACAATTGTTTCCTTTTTTCTCTTTTTCAAGTTATGACATTCATCAGATGTCCCGTGATCCTTAGATAAAAGCTTTGTATGCATGTGGCAGGCTCATCAAGTATTAAGCCTGATTGTATTGTCTGTCATGCAACTAAACCATTTAATTGAAGGAATCACAACTGTCAATATCTTTAGGTTTTTGTTCTTGGGCTCATTAGTTTGTAGATGCTGGAATACTTCAGTATCCTTCTAGGAGGTACTAACTCAGTACTACGTTGATCATTTTATTTTTCAGTAGTGTTTAAATGATATGACATAACTTAGACCAAGCCCAATTCCCTCTTTCTTTGGGATTACATGTTCTTAGGCTCTGGATTAAAAATAATCACCAGGCCAGGAGTGGTGGCTCAAGCCTGTAATCCCAGCACTTTGAGAGGCCGAGGTGGGAGGATCACCTGAGGCCAGGAGTTTGAGACCATTCTGGCCAACGTGGTGAGACCCTGTCTCTACTAAAAATGCAAAAATTAGCCAGGCATGGTGGTGCACACCTGTAATCCCAGCTACTTGAGAGGCTGAGGCAGGAGAATCACTTGAACCCGGGTAGTGGAGGTTGCAGTAAGCTGAGATCATCCCACTGCACTCCAGCATGGGTGACAGAGTGAGACTGTCACAAAAATAAATAAATAAATAAATAAAAATAAAAATAATCACCATTATTATGTTTTTGTCCTCCAGTTATACCATATAATTTCTAACCCTAAAAGCTAAAATATTAGAGCATTTTCTAGATGATTTTGAAGTACTATGCATCTCCTAAACTGAAGATTTGTTTCTGAAAGTGCATATGTGCATGGTTATATTGAGGTTGTTGAAGGTACAGGAGTGAAATAATTCACATACTTCCACAGCAGAATAGACAAATTACTCATGATTATGGTTTATGCTTTCTGCTCATCCTCATTAAGAATTGTCCCTATTATTCATATAATATCCTAAAAGAGAAAAAATAAATTGGCTCCATAAGAAATCACTAGACCAATATAAAAACATTATTGTTGATAACATTATTTTTAATTGTTATTTCCAAGTACTTTTATGAATTTTGAATCTGACATTATTAGTACATTGTTGGGTATAAAGTTACATATATAGCCCTTTGGTGAACATGAGATCTTTGCTTTTTTTTTCTATTTTTTTTTTATTTTTTAAGAAAACAGGCTGCTAGGGAAGCATCAGTTTTACATCATAATAAGTGACATTCCAGAGAAGAAGACTCCTTTAAGTTTCCATATTTCTCAACATAATGTCTGTGCTTAGTCAATTCTGTTAAAAGAAAAACTTTAGACATATTAAGCTTAACAGAGTTTAATTGAGCAGAGAATGATTCGCAAATCAGGAAGTTCCCTGAACCAGAATACGTTCAGAACAACTCTTGGCTTGCCACATGATTGAATAATATTTACGGACAGATAATAAAAAAGGGACTTACAGAAAGCAGAAGTGAGGTACAGAAACAGCTGAATTGATTAGGACTCAGTATTTGTCTTAGTTTAACACAGTTTGAACAGTTGGCCACTTGTGAGTGCTGAAACTCCATGATTGGTATGAGCAATCTCTTCACATATCGTGTTAGTTTACCATTTGCTATGTATGGAGAAATCTTTAGGCTGAATTTAAAATATGTAAGAAAGTGGCTTTGGACTAAACTAAATCAATAATTCATTTTGCTATAATTATTTCTTTTACCTCTGCACATTATTCTTTCCTTCTATTCATAAAATACCAGCATTTTTTAATTTCTTTGTATGTTTTTCATTTTAAAGGTGATTTTAACTGGATATTTAAGCAAAATCCTGATTACTCCCCTTGGATAACATCAAATATTCTTCTGAAATTCCTTCTGAAATCTGCTTCAAACTTGCGACACTTCTTTTCTAGTGCCTCATCTAACTTTTAAGAATCACAATGGCAAAAGTTATGTCCTATCACACACACACATATATATGTATAATCTAGTATGTTTCCTTTTACAAAATCTTGCCTATATGGGTTGCTAATGTAGCTTACATAAATTCATAAATACAATACTGAAAAGTTTTCTGTAAGGACTAGGTCATGTACTTCAAATAAAAGGAAATTCTGTTAGTTTTAGGGCAGCAGACTATAATTTTGTCATAGATGAGTATATGACCCATGAGTTTAAAGGATCAAGGAACACAGGCTTAGACCCATCATTTGGTTGGATTTCATCTCAGAAAGTTACTTGGCCTTCAGATGTACCCTGCAGGTGCAATCCCCACCTACCTCCAATCTTTCAGGATCAATCTCTTCGGAGAATAAACTCCTTGTTTATTCCAGGATGGGGAGGAGTAGTCATCTAGACACAGGTGGCAAGGGATTTGCCTGGATTCTGATGCTTGTTTTTTAATTTTTTTTTGAGACGGAGTCTCACTCCATCACCCAAGCTGGAGCACAGTGGAGTCACAGGATCCTTAGGGTGTCACTCAGCCAGCCAGAAACCTTAGTGGCCAGTGGCACTTTTACCCAAGTTCTGCTTGGGTATGCTACGCTTGTTCTGTGCACTTGGCCTAGCAGGCTGCACTCAGCTCATGCTACTGGCCCAGATCCCATGACTGCCAAGGGTGAGCCAGGTGCAGAGTGGGGTGTATGAGTAAGCAGGCATGGGGTCAAGCCCCTGGACATAGCCAGGCATGCTGGCTGTGACACGGCAGGCGGCTCCAGGTGCCGGCATCAGTGCTGGGGCCCTGTGAGGCTGCAGCTAAACCAGGCATACTACAGGCAGCTTCCACTGCTAGCACTGGGGAACACAGTGGCATCCAGAAGCTTGGAGATGCCAGGAACTGCATAGCCCCAAAGAGGGTGTCAAAGCCCTGGCTCAGAGAGCTCCTAGGTCGGGGCTCCCCAAAGGAAAGCAGCTCTCTTCTTCTCTCCTCTTTTTCTCATTACCCACAATGTGGCGAGTGAGAACTGTGTTTCAGCCCTATTTGTGTTGCAGCTCTTTGAGTCCTGCCATTCAGCAGGTCCTGAGTTCTTGTCCCGTGTCCAGGAAGAATGAGATAGGCAGACAGCTGGAGGGTGAGTGAGGCTAAAAGGTGCTTTACTGAGTGACAGAACAGCTTTTAGGAGACCTGAAGTGGGTAGCTCCTTTCCACAGGCAGGTCGTCCCAACGAGTTCACCTCTCAGGACAGAGGAGACCCGGAGTGTGTAGCTCCTATCCACAGGCAGGTCATCTGAACAAGTGTACAGGTCTCAGCTGAGAGGAGACCCACAGTGGGTAGCTCCTCTCTGCAGGCAGATTTTCCTGACATCTGCTAGAGTCTGGCTGAGTCCAGGGTTTTTTTGGGTTTCAGAGGGGAGGAAGTGCATGCTGATTGGTCCATGGGCAGCCATGGGCGGGCAGGGGAAAAGCACCAAAAGTTCTTACACCAGTCCACAGAACTGGTAGCTCAGCCCCCAGACTTCAGGCCATCCCTGAGGACCTGCTTCTTTCCACCCAGGAACCTCTCTGCCATCTGCTGCCATTAACCTGCCATTCACAGTGCTCAGGTTCTTTTTGCCAATGGAAGCCTGCAGGCTTGTGCCAAGCTGCCCTCAGCCCTCCCTCAATCTCCCTCCCATGCTCATCAGTGCCCAAAGTCCAGAGGGAGCTAAGGAAGCATGGGGCTGATGCCACAAGGGGGCTGGAGAGTCAGCACTGGCCCCAGTGCACACACACCTGTCCGGGTTGTGACAGCACTTGGGCTCGGCCACAACTTTCCTCCAAAATCTGAGCAGGTGCCAGGAGCATGTAGAGACTAGGCAGTGGGAGCACACATTTTGAAGCCTGCAGGGCCAAGGGGTTTCCTGGACCCCAATATCACAGGGATGCCCAGGTCCACAGTCAAGGCTAGGCAGCTTCAATTGTGCCCAGGAGCATGAGGCTCCTGCCCTAACAGCTCAGAAGGGGATGAAACTCCTGCCTGTTCCCAGCTGCCTCTGGCTCCATGGAGCTTTCATCCCTGGCCACACCTCCTATGCTGCAGCTGGCGTCTTTGTAGCAGCCACTCCAGACAGGCTGCTGCTGCCATCAATGGCATTATCTCTGTTCATTGCAACCTCTGTCTCCCAGGTTCAAGCAATGCTTGTGCCTCAGCATCCCAAGTAGCTGGAATTACAGGTGTGTACCACCATGCCCGGCTATTGTTTGTATTTTCAGTAGAGACAGGCTTTGCCATGTTGGCCAGGCTAGTCTCAAACTCCTGACCTCAAGTGACCTGCCCACCTCGGCCTCCCAAAGTGCTGGGATTACAAGCATGAGCCACTGTGCCTGGCCCCTTCTGATGCTTCTTTTATGGATTTTCAAATACTCCTATTTTTATCACTCTACTTTCAATGGTTCTGGTTTCCAAAATTACTAAAGCTGTTTGAAGTCCTGTGGCATGGATGAACCAACTTCTAGGATCCCTTCATTACTTGCATGTTTCATCTTTTTGCCAATACTCAATTTGCTATTACCCATCTAATTTCCACCCATGAACATTTTGTTAATATTTGTTTTTTTTCGTTCTTGAGAGAGAGAGAGAGAGAGTGTGTGTGTGTGTGTGTGTGTGTGTGTGTGTGTGTTTGTATTTGTGTATTACCCTTTATGATTTTCAGTGCTGCCTTCCCTCCAGGGGGAAGACAGAACAGTTGAAGTAGCGCATCTGGAAATGTAACAATATTTTCTTTCTAGTCCTATGAGATGCTCTTTTCCATTTCTGTACAAGCCTGAGCTTCAGATATATCAAAATTCATGAAGCTTCCTGACTAAGCCTTACTGCTCTTACATTTTTATTTTCTATAGGCAATGCTATCTTTATTTTTTCTATTTTTACATATGAATATAATTGATCATGAATATAATTTTTGTTAGGAGTATATTTTGAGTCCTGTATCTTTCCATCAAATCAAGCAATATTATGTTACAGAGCTTTCATGAGGACTTTAAACTTTTCTAAAACATCACAGCTACTAATCCTAAAAGATGTACCAGAAAGATCATAGCATATATTCCATATTACACTGCGTGTTAAACCTATATTTTTAGGGCCGGGTGTGGTAGCTCTCACCTGTAATCCCAGCACTTTGGGAGGCCGAGGTGGAATCACGAGGTCAGGAGATCGAGACCATCCTGGCTAACACGGTGAAACCCCGTCTCTACTAAAAATACAAAAAATTAGCTGGGCATGGTGGTGCATGCCTGTAATCCCAGCTACCCGGGAGGCTGAGGCGAGAGAATGGCGTGAACCCGGGAGGTGAAGCTTGCAGTGAGCCGAGATGGTGCCACTGCACTCCAGCCTGGGCGACAGGGTGTGACTCCGTCTCAAAAAATATATATATACATATATTTTAAATATGATATTTTAAGTTATAATTTTTAGAAACACACACACACATATATATATACACACCTACATAAGTAGACTATATATATATATATGTATACATACACATACATAAGTAGAAAATTTGGGAAAGGTATTCATCCAATAATAGAGCTGTGAGGGGTAAAAAGATGGAGGAGAAAAGAAGGGAGAGATGGGAAATATCAATTCTAATTTTAAAAGGAAACATGCCAACAATAAAACACCATTCTGTGTTTGTGTGTGTATCATAGAAATGTGAGAATTACCAATAACCTGCTAATAGTGATCATATCTGTGTAGAGAGATTTATGTAATATTTACCTTCTTCCTTGAACTATTCTTATTTTATATCATTTTCTGAAAACAAATTATTATATATTTTTTACCGGAAAATGGGTAGTTCTACAGAAACACAACCAGGTATATTACCAGGCTCCTTCTTGGTATTTTATAAAACGGGTAATATACATATTATTCATATTTTCTGAGGTTTTTGTCATCTGTGATTTTTAAGAAGCTGAGATTTAAACTTTTAAAGAATAGTAATAAATAGTAGTAAAAATATCAGAATGCTTTCTTTAAATATAGAATGACATTTATTTTGTTCATGTTTTCTACAAATTTGTGTCACTCTTTTGCCCAGATTCATGGAGTTATGGCCCACTATTTAAGTGAGATGAAGGCAGTCCCAAGAGTCATACTGGCTCTGATTCAATCGCTGGCAAAATATTAGCCCCTGCCATAAGCACACACTAAAATAACTATGCTAATTTTCAACTGATAAATTGTAATGAATCTTATTTTTCTACCTGCTGTGTATCATTGAGAATGGAATAATGAAAATAAGAAAAAAACTTATTTAAATATGAAAAGGAAATGCAACATAAAGGGCATAAATTAGAAAAATATATATATATAGGTATATGACATCTTCTACATGCCAAAGGCTATCTAAGCACGTATATTGTCATTAATAGTCTGAAGCACTTATGAGAATAATATATCCCTTATGAGTGTTTATCTTCTTTTTTATTAAAGAAATTACGGGACAAACAAGTTAAATAAATTGGACAAAGTTATTGTAGCTGAGCTCTATATGAATCTATAGTGCAAAAGTCATTAAATAAGTTGAGAAAAGGGTTTAGACCTAAACACAGGAGAGTCTTGACAAGGTATAATTAATGTTATTCAATATATGAAGCCATCTAAATAGGAGCATATCTTTATTTTCATGTGATTGTTGATCACTATATCTGAGCCACTCTAGTATGTGAGGAAAGTACCAGGCCATAGACTGCAATGAGACACACTTGCGTCTAAACCCTGGTTTCTTTTATGTGACCTTGAGAACACTAAGCCACTCTAGTCAAGTTTCATACAAATAACATTAGACCTCATCTATAATATATGACTGTAAAAATTAAATTACGATTCATATGGAAAGTTTTCCCAAGCCAGTATTTCTTCTTAAATGCTATCAATTCATATTTACTGTTAAACTCCTCTTTTTTCCTAGAGAAAAACAAGTAAATAAGGCACAAGTTTTATCTTTAACTTGCTTAAGATATGGTTTATTTCTTCTAAATTTAGAAAAAAAAATGTACACAAGATACAATGGCAGATTTATCTCTAACATTGGTAGAATTGGCATTTGATTATTTAACGCATTGAAGAGCACTATTTAATATATATCTGCATTTAATACAATTAGGCTAATGTGCTTGGCACTAGGGATAAAAATATGAATACAAAACACCATATTTTGACGTAACTTGCAAACTGATGGGGGCAGAAAGCAGTTGGTACTGGCCTAGGTGTTAAAAGTCCAGCATCTCGTGGGCAATGACACATATGCAATAGTCTCAATAAAGGAGAGATGGAATAGGAAACCGCATGCAATGATGAGAGAATAGACAGGTGCAGGTAAATGGCATCATTTCCAAGGTCACTCATTATGCCTTTTATTATATTGTCTATTCTTATTTTGGTAACTGTGAGAGGTTGCAAACAGAAAAATTTTAGGAGGCAGAAATGTTCCATACTACTAATCCTTTTCTGACCACTGAGTGTTCCTGAATCACTCACCAAAATCGCATGCTTCACGTGAAATTTATTAAGCTGATTTGAAAATTATAATCTTGGTTCGGAAACCTCACAGCGTTGGCTTGCTTGATTACTCCAAATGTGCACCAGTTCCCTTCTTTTCTCCTGCTTACATTATTTCATGGGCAACTTTGCAACCTAAAGTCTAGAATTCAAACTGCCTATAAATAGGAAGGAGCAGCATAATTTTACTTTTCCACCAATCATTGATGAACTCAGCCATATTTTCTTCTTTCTCTGCATGTTCTCAATATGCTTTCAATGTTGTAGATTAATTTTTTTTCCATTCCGTCTCCACTGCTGATATGTTGATTGGCCTAATTCCCCAGCAGCTGATCAAGTTTTATTACTTAGTGGCTATTTAGTATTTGGACTCTTTTCAGATTGTCCTAAGCATCCACTTTTAAGAATTGTTCTATGGGCAGTCTTAATACAAACCTCACATATGATGTTTCTTGAACTCTTTCGTTAGATCACCAGGAAAGGTAAATTATTGTATTCAGGTATCCAAGAGACCTTATTGTTTTCTGTATTGAAGAAGAATGCCCTATCTCATGACCTATCAGAAGTATACAATTGCATAAATTTGGGGGGGTGCAACTTTAAATGGAGGAATAACAACATGGCTTATTCTGCACATTTAATGACTTATCGTTTGTTTGGTTCCTGACTTGGTTCAAGGGCAATCGGTTAGCCCAGCTAGACCCTGAGCACATGCTCTTATAAATCTTCCATAATACACTCCACTGTTATCCTGAACTGGTGATAATAAAAATACTTTTAGTAGTCGCATGGATGAACAACTTTTAATGACTATGTAAGTACTCTATTGCATAATGTAATTAATGCATGATTACCATGACTTAATGGATAATACAGTTTTGGATAAAGCAAAATTTAAAAATGAGTTGATTTAAATAAAATGTTAAATAATAATAGAAGTTGTAGAATCACATAACAAAATTACTAATATGCTGCTCAAATAATTGACACTTGTAAAAATCAGCTGTTATGTTTACCCATCTTTTTCCACCAAATCAAAAGATTCCTGCACTGTAGATCTCTTGATTCCCATGGCCTCTAGACCATGTTAAGTCCCTATTCACAAGTATCACTCTGTACTTCTCTCTCTGAAACCGCATCCAGTTTCTCATTATTGATTTGATAACTTTTTTCCACTTTAGGTTCAATGAACTTGTATAGTATTATGTCTATCTTATACTCACTAGCTCCGATTTAGTAACTGGGCCGTGGAAGGCTTTAACATTTGTTACATGAATAAGCCGGAGATGACTCATATTTCACAGGGTTTCAATCAAGGAAAAGGCAAACTCTGTAAAAATTAGGATTTACAAGACAGATAATCAGCATTGATCTTTAAAGTTATTATTCTGAGTCTTTTTTTAAATTGTTATGGCTGCTTTATTATATATAATGCAAAAATGCTATTAGTAAATTTTTTGTTTTCTGCTGCTCCTTTTTGTTGCTAAGTAGATATCATATATGCATGTTGGTAGGTTTCAGATACGGGAATGGGGATCTGGATCTGTGTTTCAGATTCAAGCCTTCAGAAAATTGGATTTTCAAAATAGAGTGAGACGGGCTTTGGGTTCCTTGGCATAAGTCAGAATAGAGCTACTAAGAGGTGGCATGGGTGGGTAAGGTAAGAGGGTAAATGAGAGAATCCAAAAAAAGCAGAGATACAGTATAGAATGGCAAGCTAGTGAACACTGCTGATGGGATTGTTCAGTGATCATTTGGAACAGGTATATTTGATCCTGAATTTAAAGTTTACTTTATTTCTACAGTTCAAAGCCACTGTATATACTTAATACTTTGTATACTTTGAATTTTATCAATAAAGAAGATTAATTAAAGAAAGTCACTGAGTCTACCCAATGCAATACAATGGCAGCAAATCTAGTATTATTGGAAGATTGATAGACAGAATTAATTTAGACAAAGCTGGAACTTAGGGTCCAGAAGGGGCTAAGATAGCTGCCCATAGTCATATAAATCAGAGATATTGTGAGAAATTAAGAGATATTCTAAAATTGTACAATGGATTTCTAGCCATTTTTATGCAGGTATTAAGGGTAGAATAATCCAACTGAATTATTTAACAATAGTTGTTGAACGATGATAATGAATTATTAAACAATAATTCAATATTTATATACAAATTTATTAATCTAGTATTTATGTTCATCTTTTTAACTTTTGTGAAATGGTGATATAAGTAAAAGTTTTTGTTAGCCTTCAAGTTCCGTTCATCAGCTAATAAAAAAAGGAGAGAAGAAGAGATCCATTTGATCCATTTGTTATACAGTTGTGTATTCTGTTCAATAAGTTTAACAAATATCTACCAGGAGGTCTGTTTTATAGCACACATATAGTGGATTAATCTTATCTAAAAGTTAAAAGTTAGCTATAAGCATCAGTCCATGTTATAACATTACATGGATTCAAAATCAGTCGTATATTTTTGAGGGAGTTACTTAGAGTTAACGTAATTTTTATTTATTTATTTATTTTTAATTTGTGAAACTGGCTTTATATATTTAGTAAAAGTTATGAAACCAATCTGGATAGACAGTGTATGTGAAAACAGAGAGAGGTACTTGGGGCAATGTTTATGGAGAGTTAAGGAAGGAGAGAGAAGCAGTGAGACATTTAATAGTTATATGTAGATTTATTAATAATTATCTACATCTACAATAGTACATTGAACACTAGCTTGGATTATAAACATATAAAGGAATGCTACTTTTTATTTTGGATTCGACTCACAAAAATAGAAATTTCAATTGTTATACTCAGATATTTTAAGGGGACTTTTCCATCGCCCGTTAAGGTGAAATTTCACCCGTAAGGTGAAGTTATCCTTTATACTTGCTTTAATCTCAGCCTTAATCTCAAAAAACTTACACGGTGAGGTAGAATTTGAATGACAACACAGATCTATAAAAATATTAGGTACACAGAAACTTAGAAGCCATGTTAAAAGATCCATATATAGATAGATAGATATAGATATAGATATAGATACAGATATAGATATATAGAGATATATCTATATCTATATATATATAGTAGTTTATTTTACATGGCTGAAATTAATTTATTTTCAAATTTAATCTGACTGATTCATAGTCACAATATTTGTCTTTTTGGGAGGGCTTCACAGTCTGCCATATAAAATATTTATATCCTTTTTTCTTCATATGAATCAAAATTATCACCATTCCTCTTCTCACTGATTTTACAAATGAAACTGCATAACTAATCCATAGCATTTTTAGAGAAGAAAAATGACTTGACACACAGCAGGAATATGCTCACCTGACAAGCCATCACTCTAAAGTTTCCATTAGCTCAATCAGAAAATGGCTTCAGAGTAAAAAAATATGAAGGCTTGGAGTCTATTACTCCCATGGCTATAGTTTGGCAAACTTACAGAAAAAAATCATTTTTTTTCTCACAGCCTGATAATATTCAAACTTTTTCAGTCACTCCTTAATGGTTAGCATTATTCTCTCACCTGGCAAAACAAAAATAAAACAGAGATGAGGAGAGAGAGAAAAGGTGTGGGTACAGGAATAAAAGGGAAAGGAGGAGTGTAGAGGAAGAGATAAAAGAGATGAAGGGAAAAAGGAGGGAAGGATGTCTCTGGCTGCTGAGAAATAATAATAAGACGTAGTAACACTGGTAAAAGTGGCGTGTTTGTGATAATTTCCAGTGTCAACCAACAACTTACAGACATTCTTGGAATGAGAAATGATTGGTGAAATTGATATAGTAACTTAAGAAAAAATGAAACATTTGATAACTAGAGCAAGACAGAATTCATCAAATGGATATTATTTGTAGAGCTTCTTACAATGGACTCTTCTTTCTGTGCTGCTGTGTGCTGGGTTTATTCTGTTTCACACTCTCCGTAAACTATGAGAGGTTTTATTTGCCTTTTTTAGACCAGAAAAAAATGTCTCAGAGACATCACCTTCTTTGGTTTGTATTCTCGGTAATCACCATTAATCCCTCTTGTCCATTATCCACCTTTCATTCACGATACTTCGCTCTCCAGATGACTGATCTCTATGGACTACTTCAAAGGGATCTCTCACACTTTGATTTCTGTTTGGGTTGAGCCAAGGGAAGACAACAGAGGAAGATCAGTAAACAGTAAGAAAGAGAGGACAGAGTAAATGGTCCTCCAGTGCTCTCTCTGCTTGGCTGCTTTCTTCTATCTAAGTGTGCTTTCTGCTACCTAAAGCCACATTTCCTACCTTTCAGCTCCTTCTACAGCTATATATCCCCCTATCTGGATTACATTATACTCCCGCTCCCACTTTATCAGGCCTATCAGTGACAAAGGTTATCCAATATTTGTAACCTTTGGAGACCTACACAACCTTTGTTATTTCTCTCTCTCTCTCTCTCTTTTTTTTTTTTTTTGACGGAGTCTGGCTCTGTTCCCCAGCCTGTCGCCCAGGCTGGAGTGCAGTGGCGCGATCTCGGCTCACTGCAACCTCCGCCTTCTGGTTTCAAGTGATTATCCTGACTCAGCCTCCTGAGTAGCTGGGACTACAGGTGCGTGCCAGCACGCTGGCTTTTTTTTTTTTTTTTTTTTTTTTTGAGGCGGAGTCTCGCTCTGTCGCCCAGGCTGGAGTGCAGTGGCACAATCTCGGCTCACTGCAAGCTCCGTCTCCCGGGTTCATGCCTTTCTCCCACCTCAGCCTCCCGAGTAGCTGAAACTACAAGCGCCCGCCACCACACCCGGCTAATTTTGTTTTTGTATTTTTAGTAGAGACGGGTTTTCACCGTGTTAGCCGGGATGGTCTCAATCTCCTGACCTCGTGATCCACCCACCTCGGCCTTCCAAAGTGCTGGGATTACAGGCGTGAGCCACTGCGCCTAGCCCCTTTTTTTTTCTTAATATGGTTCCTACCTTTTTTTAAATTAAAAAACAAAAACAAAACAAAAAAAAACTTGTTCCTAACGTCTCTTCAATTAACTCATAACAGTGTGAAGTCACTTTCTATTAGGATTCATCTAGTTGACAAAGCCAAGATTTAAACCCAGGTTTGCCTATAAAACCTAGAATTTTTTTTACCAGCCCACAACCTATTGGAAAATTATTATTATTATTATTATTATTATCACTGAGACAGAGTTTCACTCTTGTTGCCCATACTGGAGTACAATGGCATGATCTCAGCTCACTGCAACCTCTGCCCCCGGGTTCAAGCTATTCTCCTACCTCAGCCTCCCGAGTAGCTGGGATTACAGGGATGCACCACCACACCCAGCTAATTTTGTATTTTTAGTAGAGACGGGGTTTCACCATGTTGGTCGGGCTGGTCTCGAACTCCTGACCTCAGGTGATCTGCCCACTTTGTTCTCCCAAAGTGCTGAGATTACAGGCAGGAACCACCACAACTGGCCTGGGAGATTATTTTTAAGGACTATTGGCCTGACAGTTATGTTTATTTTAAACCCTTCAATTAGTGACTGTTTTCAATATTTTAGGATGATCATCTGTTTAATGAAGTTTATGTTCCCAGAAAAATAAATAGTGACATAATTGCTTGAAGGCATTTATTAGAGATTTTGTTCCAGGACTAGATTCACACAATTCAGTAAGTAGGTTTGTTTTCATTGTTTCTAACCCCATATAGGCTAACTTATCTATCTTAGCCAGCATTCCTAGATTGTTCATAGCTCCATGCAACTTTTTAAATAAATGTGACTCTACTGGGGTATCTACTTATGTCTTCTGGAAATAGTCAACCGGTTGGGCGCGATGGCTTACGCCTGTAATCTCAGCATCTTGGGAGGCTGAGGTGGGTGGATCACAAGGTCAAAGAGACCGGGACCATCCTGACCAACATGGTGAAACCCCGTCTCTACTAAAAAAAAAAAATACAAAAATTAGCTGGGCATTCTGGCACGCACCTGTAGCCCCAGCTACTCGGGAGGCTGAGGGAGGAGCAATCACTTGAACCCGGGAGGCAGAGGTTGTAGTGAGCCGAGATTGCACCACTGCACTCCAGCCTGGGACAGAGTGAGACTCCGTCTCAAAAAAAAAAAAAAGGTCAACCTACTTATTGTCTTATACCACACAATAACATTAAGGTTGCATTTTTAAGCCAACATAAATGAGGGTATAATTGAGTCCAAATAAGGCAGATTATGAGCAACTTGGAAGCAGTCAACATGCACTTCATGTCTTTTAATCCCAAATGTTTAGTGCTACATTTGGCCTACAATGAATGTTAATAAATAAGTTAATAGACGATGTATTCATAATGGAAATAATGTATATTCTTATTTATGTGATTAATCTTCTCTTTAATAATGCCAGACACTTCTGATTTCTCTTCTGCCTCACTGATCACTCATTCGTCATCTCATTTGCTGACTCCTTCTCTTTGATCTACCTTCTCTTTTTAGACAAGCCTCCTAGGTTCTACAATCTCGCCTTTCAAGATAATTTAAGATTTTTATTTTTGTGTGTATCACATGGATCTCTTTGGTAGCCTGGTAAAACATCGCACTTATTTTTAGAATATTGTTTTTATGCATAAGATATATAATAGGGATAAAGAAAATCAAGCTTCAAAATATATTTTAAAAGGTTTGTATTCAAGTAATATATGTGCTTCTTTATATATTAAATAGGAAAATCTCATGGTACGCCTACTACGACAATAAATTTGAAATCAGTTTAGTATAAACCACATTCTGAGATATCAGCAAACACTAAAACAATAGCTATAATTCCTGTTGGTGATCATTATTATTATTTTGCTTTCGGTAATAATTAAAGAAAATGCTAGTTAATTAAGCTTGGTAAAATATAAAATGCAAACATTTCCATTCATATTAATCTTTGGATTCCATCTACATCCATTAATCTTTTGTTAAAATTTGTTACTTAAATGGGTTATTCAGCATCATGATGGGAAACAGAATCTATATGCTAAAGGCTCACAAATTTATATCTTTATTTCAGACTGCTCTCCAGAATTCCAGTGAAGCTGGGCTGTGTTTCAGACATCTCAAATTTACCATAGCCAAAACAGAATTCTGGAATTCTTGATTCATGATTCATGTCATAAAATGAACTCTCTCTTAATTTTTTCACTATTAAAATAAAACCAAGAAAAGGCAAAACTATGGCATTGTTTTCTCATTTGCTCAATTTTTGCTTAAAGCTGGCTTTCTTCTTAGTCATTGCTTTACCTTATCCTGCCACATCGAGTTCATCAGACAAAATCGTCAGTTTTACTAAGGTCCAAATGTTTTTTACCTTAGTCTAAGCCTGGTAAATTTTCATCTGGATTATGCTAACCTTTTTAAAACTTTTTTTCTTCCTGTAGTTACTGCCTCTTAGTATTTTCTTCTAAGAGCAGTAAGAACTATCTTTAAAATATAAATCAAGTGATGGATCCCTCTCTGCCTCTTTCTACAAATTTTGGTTGTTTTAATCACTCTAAGGTCCATCCACGTCTGAGAGTCCCTTTGTTCCTAGAATACATCAAGCTCTTTCCTATTTTAAGGATACCCAATATGCTCCCACCACCTCAAAACCTCCTTCTGCCTTTTAAAATAATACAAATATCATCTTTTTAGAGAGGTCATTGTTGATATCCTACCCAAAAGAGTAAAATCATATGCAGAAGTCACTCTTCTAAACATTATCCTTCAAACGCAGCATCTGTGTAATAATGACACATACATAAATGATGATAGATAGATAAACTACATATTATCATTTTATTTACTTGTTAATTATCTGTCTTATCCAAGAGAATAATTGTTAAAATGTATGTGTCTTTCATTGAATCTTTATTGCCTGGTAGAAAGTCTATCATACACTAAAGAGTTAATAATAAATCCCTGACTCATTGATGATTCATAAGCAGTAAGCGTCCCTAAACCTTTGTTCAGCAATATAATTCCTTCCAGATAAGAAACAGTTTGGAATTATTTTTAATAATCCTAATCCAACTGTTTTTTAAAAATGCCATAATAGGCTGGGCGTGGTGGCTCATGCATCTAAATCCTAGCACTTTGGGAGGCTGAGGCAGGTGGATCACCTGAGGTCAGGAGTTTGAGACCAGCCTGACCAACATGGTGAAACCCCATCTCCACTACATACAAAAAATTAGCCAGGAGTGGTGGTAATCCCAGGGTAAGTAGCACCCGTAATCCCAGCTACTTGGGAGGCTGAGGCAGGAGAATCACTTTAACCCAGGAGATGGAGGTTAGAGTGAGCAGAGATCACGCCACTGCACCCCAGCCTGGGCAAAAGAGTGAGACTCCGTCACACACACACACAAAAAGGCCATAATAAAGAGATATTTGTTTGTATCTAACATAATTTCATATAGCACTGAATAAAAATATCCATTTCAAAGTGATCTGGCCAGTATTTTTTAATATGTTCTAAGACATACATGGTGTGAAGATCAATTTCCTTTACCATTGTTCAAAGTCCTCACTTAAGGAACAAATTTTGTTGTTTACAATTATTCATAAATCGGCTGGAATATTTAAATATGAAACTCATTGTCATTATTTTACGATTGGAAGGAATGATGGTCTTATTTATGGCTGTGTGATTTTCTGACAATAACTAAGAAAACATGAAAGTAATCATGACTTTGCAAAATAGCTATTGACAAAAATCAGGCAAAGATAATACTTGGGAAATTCAACATATGCAAATCAGCAGGTCTAGATGACAAACACCTTAGGCTATTAAGGGAAGGGATAAACATTCTGGACCATTTAAAGTTATTTGAAGCAAAAAAAAATGGTCAAAATTTTTTAAAAACAGCATAACATTGAGAAAATATAAATATGCAGTCAGTTTCTTTTTTAACAGAAAAAATCAGTCTGTGTGATGCTGATATTAATAGATATGAAAATAGTGAGGTAGGACAATGGCATCAGGAACAAACTGAAAATAGATTTTGATAGGAAAACACCATTTCATCTATTCCCATAGTTTTTGCACTGTAATGCAATTACTATGCGCAGTACCATCATCATTCAAATGTTAAAATAACCTCTATTTCTATATAGTTATGTAGTAGATTTAGTGATACCACTAGCTATATATAATCAATGTGGAAGCAGAATATAAACAGCAAATAATAATCTCTATAAATGAAGTCATCTTAGGAAACTTTTGGGAAGTTGCTGATGAAATAATATCAAATTTGAACTTAATTATAACCTCTGTACTAAACTGAAAGAATAAAAAGCCTGTCTCAAATTTCAGGTAATATTAAGTTGAGAAGAATTAAGAAACTGAGAAAGACAGAAATATGATGTAAGTCTAAAGATAAAAATGTGAGGGGAGAAAACAAAATTAAATTCACATTGAGAAAGAGATAACATATCAGATTAAATATAATTTTTAATTATTATAAAATTAGGGACAGAAAGCTGTATAAAACAATGTCCAAAGAAACCTAAGTGAAATAGACCAATTAGATATTACACAGGAGAAAAAAAAAGGAGAGCAACTTGATTTTAAATCCATCTGGAACCCAGTACCTGTATAAAATCCTTAATTGTAATAAATTCCAAGAATAAATTAAAATTTTGTTAAACACAAATAGTTATTTACTACCACACATAAATTAAAAATAAACCAACAGCGTTAATACTCTGACACTGGAATTAAGCAAAATATTGGCTTTAGAACACAAAATGAGAGAGCCTGAAAGTTTTTATAGGAAGTGGCACGGTAAAGTGGAAATGAAATCTGAAAATTCTGCCCTAACCTTATTGTGGCAGAAGATGGACCAAAGCCAGGGCCTATTTTCTTTCAAAATCCAGACATTAGAGATTTATTCTCTGAATTTGCATTATATCAGTAATTAGAATAGAAGAAGAAAAAAATTGTATGAAATTAACAGTCTATCAAACCATTAATAAAAACCTAAATAAATTTCTACTATAAAATAAATATATGCACCATATAATTTTAAACATATTTTTATATTTATTTCAGGTAAATAAATATACTTCTTGAGGCAATACCTTCACTGAATATTTTATATTAGAACTTGGAAAAAGGAAGGGAAATTTTAATTCATCATAAACCATATATGTGGAGTATATATGTAATTATATCATGAGGTATATATGTATAACGAGGTTCAGTATTTTATGAAAAGCATAAAATACATCTGTTCTTTGTTATATCAATGTCTTTTAATGGTGAAATACTATCATTAGAGTTTTTTTAAGTAGAAAATTATAGTTTTCTTTCAATATGACTAAGCTACATATATTGAATGACATAAAAAATAAATCACTGATCTTTTTATGATCATCAATATTTGAAAGCAATATATAAGTGGGGTAGGGGCTGTTTGCCCTGTAGACCTTGATAAGGACTGGTTTGGGTAATTATATTCCACCTGCCAAATTTCTCCTGGTAGTTTTTAGTCTGCAGAGCTGTTAAACAGCTGCCACATGTTATCCCAGTGATAACTGCAATTAGGTGATGAAGGAAATGGCTCTTTCTTATTTCTTAATTTATTTGAATTTAAGAAAACTCAGGAACTTGAATAAAAATCTTATACATATTGTACAATCTTTTTGTACAGAACCTGCATGATCTAACCCATTTAACAATCAAGTTTTAAAATAATAAGTAGTTTTCCTGAATAACATACAATGACAATATGTTTATTTGAAGACAATGAGTAGGAGGAATTAAAGTGTTTTGAAATGGAGATAAAATTTAGAAGAAGATGATACCTAGGCCCACGTCATGAAAGGTATAGATATGCAACCTCAAGTCATGTAAAATTAGAGTTGTAAGTTTTGTCAAGTATTTAGATTTTTGTTTCCATCAATTTGGAAGAAATTCATTCCATGCACATTTAAAATGGTTTCACTTGATATACTATTAACTTGTATTTTCTCATTATGAATTTCATTTTGCTTTTGTCTGTTCATATTGCTTATCTTTACGCTTACTTACATCAGAGTCCTGCCCTTGTTAGTGTTCTTCTTTCTTTTCCAGTCAAAACAAGTTAGTTTGGGGAAACCACTATCAAACACACACACACACACACACACACTTTGTCAGACACACACACAATACTTTATCTACTGAACTTATTCATCTTTAGGTGTCATTCAAGAGTCGCCTCCTTAGGGAAGAGTTCTGATTCACCACATATAGTCCAATTCAATTTCCTTTGTTATTTTGTTATAGAAACCCTTTTTCTTTGCTTCACTGTATAATACTTTCCTTGAGTTTAAAATTATATATTTGTTTGCATGATTGCATGATTATTTTCTGTTTTTACTAGAGCTTAATTTCATGAGAACAGGGTACTTTGTATGAATATTTTATAAATATTTTCTAAGTTAACCTTTTGGCAAACATTTCTCTAATTCTATATTGCTTACCCTTCCTTATAACTTAGCCCTTTTTCACTTCTGCATATATATTTAATATCAAACATTGAATAAATACTAAGCACAATACTACTTTATGTTACATATGTTATAGCATTTATTTTTCACAACAATAATTTAAAAATGTATTTATATTGTCATTTTCCAAGTAAGGAACAAAGACTCAGATAAGATAAACATGAGATAAACATGTTTTCACCTAGAAGTGACATGCTGAATTTAAACTTAGATTTGTTTTGTTTGTTTGTTTGTTTGTTGGTCCAGAACACCAAATATATTACTCTGACTACAGAGTTGATTAAGATAACAGAATAGCTATATACTAAAAATCAATGTGTATCGTGAAATCAAGTAGATGCAGTTCAGTGAATCCCAGCTTTTAAGTATTAAAGCCTAGGTAATGCATTTTGTAATTTAGAGAAGAGTACTAAGGGATCTACTCAGTCTTTATATGTCTAGAAATTATTGTGAGGGTCCTGTTGGTCACTACTATCTATATTCTTTTCTAGAAAATCTTAACATCTTAAATGGTCACAAATTATGTATTCCCTCTTTGTCACACTGTATCTAAAGAGAAAACTGAAAACTCTACAATGGCAAACAAGGCAAACGATAAATTCTAAAAGTTAAAGGCACAGATCAAACTACTTTTAGAGATAAGTGGTCATTGTAAGAGTAAACAATATTATCTGAAGAATATGTAAGATCAACAATCTAGAATCCTGGTAGCATTTACAATATAGAAAATTGCAAATTTATATAATAAAAGAAATAAACAGCATCATAATCCATTTCTTAGTGATTTTGCTAAGTACCCAATATATTTTAATCTAAATTATTTGTATTCCAGATTTTATATAACATGTAAGTTTCATAATTTGTGGAATCTGGAAAATAATTATACCAGAGTTATTCTGATGAGCAACATCTGAATTAGGACTCTATGGCTTAGATTCTGAATTGAAGTTCTACAAATAATTTTTCTGGCAAGCTCAGTTCCAATCAATATGCATTTCTTGAAATTTCAAAACCTGAGTTAGCTTCAGGTAGAAACTACTAACAACATTTCTTAGTACAATATTTCAAAAGTATATATTGAAAAGTGAAAGAAAATCTGTCTTAAATCAACCATAAATAATCCAAAAGAGAAAGTAGTAATCACATTAATCATAGTAACTATTGCTTTCTCAGAACAGACTAAATCTGAGATTTCAACAATGATTTAAAAAAAAAAAAAACCGACCAGGCACGGTGGCTCATGCCTGTAATCCCAGCACTTTGGGAGGCCGAGGTGGGCGAATCACCTGAGGTCAGGAGTTCGAGACCAGCCTGGCCAACATGACAAAACCCCGTCTCTACTAAAAATACGAAAATTAGCCTGGTGTGGTGGTTTGTGCTTGTAATTCCAGCTACCCAGGAGGCTGAGTCAGGAGAATCACTGGAACCCGGGAGGCAGAGGCTGCATTGAGCCAAGATCGCCCAACTGCACTCCAGCCTGGGTGACAGAGCAAAACTCCATCTCAAAAAAAAAAAAGAAAAGAAATGTATTTAATGCTTTTAATGCTAATTGCAATTCTAACCTGATGTCAGATTTTCAGGATGCAGTTTGGTCATGACAACAATGCTTCTCAAAATTCAGGATGTACCTAGGAATCTGAAAATGGGAGCCAGACATCATCAGCTGATTCCAGTGTTCAGTAAAGGTGGAAAACTATTGTTCTAATGAAGTGACCACAGCTATGACTCATCATTAGAATAACATGGTGGGTATTAGCGATGAGGGTGGGTGGGGAGTGACTCTTCTATCATAAAAAATTTAATCACATCCATAACCTCTTACTGCTTCTCATAACTCTTCAATTGAATCCTGCCTTTAGCATGAAGACCTAGATTCTTCTGCAACCCTAAATTAAGTGAAGTCCACAGATCCTTCTCTACCTAGTTATCTCACAAGAGAATTAGGAGACAAGAGTCAGAGTTCTTCTATCTTTCTGATTCTCTCTTATTTACTTAAACTTGGTGGCAAAACTTGTTTGTCCTTGAATCTCATATCATTTTCTATGCACCCTCTACTCCACTTTATTTTGTCCATTTACAAACACTTGAGTTTCCTAACAATTTTTTAAAGTTTCTATATCAGGTCTTACAGTCTTACTTTAGTCCCATGTATTATTGTGGGAGACTTTACACTCTCTTGGACAATTCATTCACCATGGTCATCCACAATCCTTGACTTGCTCAAATTATACAATCTTCAACTTCTTTCCACTTAAATCCCTCAAATCCACTTGAATCTTTATTTTGTCTTAGAGAATTGCTCTTCCTCTTATACAAGAAAAAGCATTCCCTTCCATAAACATATATTTTTCAGACTATAAAAACATATTTTTTCATTTCTTTACTTCCATTAAACATGTCCTTAAAATTCATCACATAAATATCACTTGATATTCTCCAATTAATCAATATATACTGGCCTGTATAAACTGGCCTACAGTATTCAATAATTTTCTAACTTACTCTAGACCCTATAATCCATCACATAGATTACATTCTTTTTATCCTTAGACTTGAACATTTTTTTACAGTTTATAACTTTTTCCAGATTCTGCCTTAGAAAGATTTTCTTCAAAAACACTGTCAAGAGTAACTATTCTCAGCATTTGAGAAATAGGAAAAATATCATGTCAAAGATAGATTCTTGGTTGACAAAATTAAAGGAAAGCCTAGGAATATTTGTACTACAATAATGTATTTGCTTTCACAAATACAAACCTCATCATGTCACTTAAATGTACTATTGCCCTTAGTTTTGTGTAATTATTTTCTCTGTGCAGATACTAACATAGTAACTGATATACATTACAGTATGTGTGTGCTTGTATAATACATGGATGGATGAATTATAGACCTAAGAAGTCATTTTCATTTTATCCTAAGGCAAAAGTGTCATTCTTATGAGAAAATGATCCATAATCAACAAATAACCTGAGAAAAAGGTGGGGAAGACTTGCAGATTTAAAAGGCTTAAGATATATTTAAACTACTTGAATTATGATCCAACTAAACTTTAAAAAATCTAACATTTATGTAATAATCAGAAAATATGAGCACTGCCTAAATATTAGATTAGCAGTCCCTAACTTTTTGGCACCACAGACCAGTTTTGAGGAAGACAATTTTTCCACAGACCAGGGTTGGGGTGGTAGGAGGTAGGGGTTAGGGATGGGGAGCTGATGGTGGAGGTGGTTTCTGGATGCTTCAAGTGCATTACATTTATCATTAGATTCTCATAAGAAGTGTGCAACCTAGATCCCTCACATGCACAGTTCACAATAGAGTTGGCAGTCCTATGAGAATCTAATGCTTTTACCGATCTGACAGGAGGCAGAGCTTAAGCGGTAATGCTTGCTCACCTGCCCCTCACCTTCTGCTGTGCAGCCCGGTTCCTAACAGGCCACTGACCAGTTGTTGTCCATGGGTTAGGGACCCTAGTTTAAGACAATATAGTTATTTCAGATATAATGATGATGTTAACTGTCATTTTAAGAAGCAACTATTGAAGAGACGCATACTGTAATATGTATGCATGAAATTACATAAAATTTTGGATTTGCTTGAAAATAATCTGGGGTAGAAGGAGTACATAGGAATATAAATTAGAAAGAATGGCTGAAATGGATGATTTTTGAATCTTTGTGAGGGATATAAGAAGTTTATTAACCTATTTATTCTATTAATACTTTACATATGATGAGAATTTTCTATAATAGAATGTTAAGTAATATTTTCTAAGGTAACTATTCAAATAATCTTTCAAAAAACTTGATAGGCATTCAAATAATTGGTGGTATTAGTGATATATCCTTTTTTTCTTTGAGACAGAGTCTGGCTCTGTCACCCAGGCTGGAGTGCAGTGGCACAGTCTGGGCTCACTGTAGCCTCTGCCTCCCAGGTTCAAGCGATTCTCCTGCCTCAGCCTCCCGAGTAGCTGGAATTACAGGTGCCTACTTGGCTAATTTTTGTAGTTTTAGTAGAGACAGGGTTTCACTATGTTGGCCAGGCTATTCTCAAACTCCTGACCTCAGATGACCCTCCCACCTTGGGCTCCCAAAGTGGTGAGATTGAGCTACCGCACCGGCCGATATATTTTTTAATATGATACAATGGTGATTATTACACATCAATTTCTGCTACCAAATATTCATCTCTAATAAAAGGATTATATAGATACTCATCAAAAGTGAGTTTTCTTTTACCCTGTCTCTGTGACACATTATTGTTGGCTTTCAACCCAGAGACACTGACATAGCTCCAACTCATATCAATCCTGAGCAGTGACAAATAGGTCTGCAGTGAGTATAAGAATTAGGACATGGCCGGGCGTGGTGGCTCACGCCTGTAATCCCAGCACTTTGGGAGGTCAAGGCGGGCAGATCACGAGGTCGGGAGATCGAGACCATCCTGGCTAACACGATGAAACCCAGTCTGTACTAAAAATACAAAAAAATTAGCTGGGTGTGGTGGAGGGTGCCTGTAGTCCCAGCTACACGGGAGGCTGAGGCAGGAGAATGGCGTGACCCCCGGGAGGCGGAGCTTGCAGTGAGACGAGATCACACCACTGCACTTCAGCCTGGGCAACAGAGTGAGACTCTGTCTCAAAAAAAAAAAAAGAAGAATTAGGACATTATACTACTATAAAAATGAAATTGAGATGAGAATGACTTTTTTGTATCTTACTTGAAATATCACTCTTCTTGCACATTAAGGTTTATGGCAACATTATGTAAATTGAAAACTTGAAAATAAATTAATTTCAATGTGAATCTTGAACTCATGACTGTGCAAAGTGAGACCATGTATCTAGCACATAAAATCAATTGGGACAGAATGAATAAAAATCAGAAAATAAATGAAGAAACTGAATAAAATTTCTCTCTCTCTGTCTTTCTTCTCCTACCACCCTTACTGGCCTCCATAGCTAATCTAATTACACTTAGGGTTTTGATAGGAATGAAGCTAAGGATATAATATGATACAATAGGCATTTTATCCTGAATTAATCACATTTTCATTAATAAAATTCATCAAAAATCATTGAATTATTTGTATGGATCAAAGTTAAGTCTCTGTAAATATCAATATGTGATGACTTGAAGTCCAGTTTTCTTCCACAACAGAAAATGTATTTTTTTATTCTGTTCGACTCCCAATCTCAAATCAGCTCTTTTCTTTTTTAACTTCCACATTCCCCAACCAATTCTACTTACCTAAGATAAAATCTTAAAAACATGGATGTTTTCAGTTCTTTTACTCTTGTTTCCAAATTGCTCAACAAGATCTCTTGATTCTTTCATGATTAATTTCCATTTCTACTGCCATTACCTAGTCCAAATCCTAGGTTCCTAGATTGAAATTACTGTCTCTGCATTAATTTTCTTGTATCTAAGCTTTTCCATATCCACTGAAGACCTAACACTATGGTCTCATAATTCTTTTAAAATGTTCCTATATTACATTACTAACAATTAATTATATTTTAATTTTCTTTTATTTGTAAAGTATTTTCAAACACATTACATTGATCTCACAAACTTACTTTATTTATCTTTAAAGTCTTATGAAAATCTTATGAAAAGCTCAGAGGCTTTAACGTTGATCTGCAAGTGGAGATTTACATCTGGGTTTCCTCTATTTCTTAATTTAATATTGACTACTCTTTAGTGCACTGGGTATCTTGTTCATGAACCTATAAGTGGTTCTTCATTCTTTCCGAATATATCATTTGACAAACAAATTATCCTCATCTATAATTTTCTATTCTCCCTACTCTGTGTGTGTGTGTGTGTGTGTGTGTGTGTGTATTTGTGCCTCTCTCACTATTTAACTTTTTTTTTTTTTTTTGCGATGGAGTTTTGCTCTTGTTGCCCAGGCTGGAGTGCAATGGTGTGATCTCAGCCCCCTGCAACCTTCTCCTCCCAGGTTCAAGCAATTCTCCTGCCTCAGCCTCCCAAGTAGCAGGGATTACAGGCACCCGCCACGATGCCCAGCTAATTTTTGTATTTTTAGTAGAGACGGGGTTTCACCATGTTGGCCAGGCTGGTCTCGAACTCCTGACCTCAGGTGATCCACCTGCCTCGGCCTCCCAAAATGCTAGGATTACAGGCATGAGCCACCGTGCCTGTCCCACTATTTAACTTTTACTCCTTTTAGATCAAAGCTGATCAGAGCCCTTTTTCCTTGCACGCATTGAATCTACTGCCAACCTCATAAATTTCCTGCTACCTAAAATTTTATACCATTTGTAATTCAAATCTTTCCATCTTTCTTAACATTTTGTAAATCAACTATCAGTAACATATTTTTTCTCATTAATTTGCAAACATATTCATTGCATAAAACATGCTATAACAGGTTGTAAATTATATCAAGTATTGACATTATACACAGCTTTAAATACTCCTATACTAGCTCATCATGTACATAAGAATTCTGTAAATATTAATTGGTTGAAACAACTGGTATACTTGCTTACACTGAAATTAGGAAGAGTTAGATGTACCTCCTAGCTCATTTTAGCACTTTGATTTTCAATATGTCACTGATTCTGAGCCAACAGTTCAGTATCAATCATTATCCAAGCATTTTAATGATACTTATTATTTATTTTATATTAAAATAATTTCTACAGAGGCTTAATTTGTATAATAAAACTTTGAATAACTTTTGATTACTTCATTATTAGATAGCCACCTGAAAAAACGTTCTTGTTAAAGGTTTGTTGAATTTAATTGTTGTCAAAACTAAGTGCACACCTCAGCAATGTATTTTATTGGGTGGATGTGAAGAAAGGCCAGGATCAGGGTAGAGAGGCATAATTATAATGTATCCTTCTTGGCATACCTTTATAATTCTTAATCAGAAATTATTTACTGGGTTCTGAATTAATATGGGAAAGAGAATTCATGAGAACATGGTGGATAAAACACATTTGTGCCTAACACTATGTTTAGAGAATGTAGTGTCAACATTCAGAAGTAGAAGGAAAGTCACCAAGTTGCTTTGTCTACACAAGGGCAATAAAATTAGAGGAGTTTTTTGTTTGTTTGTTTTTTCTCATTCCTCAACTGACTATGCAAAATTTCCAAACATGTATGTAGGCATATAAACACATATACTCAAACATACTTCATTTGCTTATAACTAGTAGAAAGTAGGTAGAAATTGATTCAGTAAGCAATTTTAAGTAATTTTAGCATTGGACAATTAAAGCCATAACATAAATTGATTCTTTAAAGTTAAAAATGATTTATTAAAGTAGTAAATTTTAATATTTTTCAATGAGTAAGATTGCCACAATAGCATGAATGCATTAATTTGTGCCCAAAGGCCTTAAGGTTGACAATGTATCAGTAACTATACACTCACGAAGCCTATATAGTTTCAAAAGGCTTGCAATAAGTTATCAAGCCTGGCCTACCACAGTCTCTCAATAGCTGATGCTCATAAAGGCAATGTTAACAATTGGCTATAAAGATGGAAGAAAGAGGAAGTGTTTCATCATCTATTGACTACTAACTACTCCAAAACTTAGTGATTGAAAAACCCAGTAATTTTCTTTTCCATACAATATTGTTAGTTAGGAGTTCAGGAAGGGTTCTGCGGGGCAATTTACCTCTAGCTGGGAGTGGCCAGGAGATTCACTTCCAAGTTGGATCCCAAACTCAAATGTCTAGATCTTTGGTGGAAGCAGTTGGAATATTGGCCTCAACTGGGCTTGTCATCTTCATCTTCCCCTTGAGGTATCAGGACCACTCCATGTGGTTTCCTCAGTAAGTTAGACTTCTCACCTGGCAGCTCAGGCCTTTGAAAAACAAGATAGAAACTGCCCATCTTATTAAAGGCTGGGCCTGGAACTGGCATGTTGTCACACCCACTGTATTTTATTTGTCAATGTAGCTACAGCCTAGTCTACATTCAAAGGATTGGGAAAAGAGCCTCACTTCCTGATGGAAGATATATCGAAAAATCGCCAGTCTTTTTAATCCACCACAGAAAGAAAAATGAAGGGAAAATGTTCTTTAAAAATAGTCTTGACAGCCAGAATTTTGAAAATAACAAGGAGTATTCCCATGTAATACAGTGTTATCAACCTTCCTCTGTAGGAGATTCTGTGACGTACTATCTAGACGTCCCCTTTAAGGTCGAGGGACTTATTTGTACTGCAGGAAATGTTGCGTGCTGATAGCTGAATCCCTGTTTGTGAATTGCTCCCAGTCAAAGGAAGCTTCCTACTCAAAATTCCAGTCTTCCATGAGATCAATTACATCCAGTGACTAGTCAATATGGTGTACCTGGACCTGCCTCTTTTCAGCTCAATTTGGGACAATACTGAGTTGCTATTCCAGCTCTACAGTTCCTTGAGGATCTAAACAGCTTCCTTCTTTTTCTCACTGCTATTGTTTTTGAGAGTAACCTAAAAAAAAATCTCCTCGCACAAAGCTGCATTAGTGTTTCCTGGAGAATCAACTTATGATGCTTTTTTATATATGATAAATGGCTATAAAGAAATCTATAAATTATAATACATAGATATTTATTATTTGTGCTTTTTATGCAAAATATTCTGCTTAGTTTTATATGCTTATATCTTTGATGTGTTAATAAAATTAATAACAAGAAAGCTTTATTTGAAATTTGATGCATTCAGTTATTTTGATTATTCTTATAATATTTCTATAAAAAGTAGAAATTTACTGAAAGTTACAACTTGGGATTGAATGGTAGTCCATTGTAAGTGTTTGCAGGGAGATGATTTTTTTTTTTTTAAATAAAGTTCCACAAGTAAACATTTCCTCCAATGAAGCTCAAAGAAATTACAATGTCATTATTTATAATACTTTGTTGATTCACTGCGTATTTTAAAGGAATTGGGGCTTATCTAAAAACCAAATCCCACAGTCAAAGAGCTTAGAAGTACCAAAGAGAAAAAGGCAATCAGAGCTGCAGGGGGGCTGCAAATCACATTGATTTGAAGATTAAAGATACACGATTGAATGAGACCAAAGTAATGCAAATTCCATGCCGAATTCAGTCACAACGAAATCATTTTGCCTAGTTCACCAAATGGTACTTTTTTTTTTCCTTTTATCTGTTTCAGCTCTTCCTAGGCCTTGAAAAAAACAAAAGTGCTGACAGACTGTGAGGTCACACATATTGACAGTAAATATTTCATGCCCAGGGCAAAATGATTAGAATCATCATATTTGAAAATTTTAATCCAAAGCCTTCTACCTGGTGTCTTTTTATATAACTGACCTCATTTTCCACAGGAGCCAAGTAGAATCATTCAGCGCTTTCTGCATCTGCCCTATTCCTTTCACATCAGCATTTCAGTCTGCTTCACTTTCTTCCCTTTGCTTCCCAGGCACTGACTTTCTCAATGCTTAGCCCCTTATTGCTGTTCCCATTCTCTTTTAAGATATCACTTTGTCCTTCAACTTCACACATTCTTTAATACGTTAAACAATAAAACTCATAAACCTACATTTGTATTTTCAGCCCTATCTTTATGCTTCTACAGCATTTCCACTAAATATCTCACTGCTGTATCTAACAAGATGTCCAAAACTTGTCTTTACACTTAATTAATATCATACCGTATAATCATTTTTCCATTATTACTGTATTTATGTGAGTAACATCATAATCCTTGTACTTTTTCATATTTTAAATATTGCCTTTTCTTTGGCAAATTTATTTCTTCCAAGTCTGGTATAACATCAGGTCAAACATCATTATTAAGCCTGCCCAGTTTCTCTTGTTAGTTTGTTACTAGCCTTAATTAGGCTTTTTTTTAATAAACTCACACACCTAAACTGCTACATTTCACTCATTTGACAAATATTAATTGCGCTCCAATAATATGCCAGGCTCTATGCTCAGAATTTACAGTTTTTACAAAGCTAGATATGCTGCTTGACGTCAAGAACCTTACCTTCTCCAAACAGAAAAGGATTATGACAATATGGGAATCATGGGGTGCTGGGGAGGTAAAGATGAAAGAAATTTTTTGATTTGTCCTAGCTGCTGCTTCTTCAATTCACACAGCATATCCTTACTGTGAGTATGTAATCTGTTTTAGTCACTGGTGCAAAATAGATACCAACAAATAAGACAAAAAGAAAATGAGTATTATATGTCATCTTCATTTAATGTGTATGTGCCAGGCACTTTGGATGTTTCTAGGCATAAATACAAAATACATTTTTGGAAAAGTGTAGTTAATTTATAGTAGCTCATAGATAGTAAAATAAATATTACTTTAAACAAATAATTAAAGCATACTTTTCCCAAATCTTAAAATGTTTCCTTTTATGCTTGTGTATTATCTTCCCAACTAATCAGATGCTATATTGTAAAACATGCTGTAGTCTTGAAATAATTTTTATTGAGGTTTGCTTTTTCATGAATTTATAGCCTTTTATTTGCTCTTTACTGAATGATTTCTGAGAGGGCAATGTCTGATTCATATTTCTATGTCTTAGAGTGATAGTTCATTATTTTATACTTAATGTTCTTTCATATATCTATATATTGGTAATTTTTCTTTCTCAAGCTTTTTATCCATTACATACCATTCCTCCAATCTGAAGTTCTAATTTCTTTCAAGAGCTCCAAATGAGTGCCTTACAAAAGCTTTGTTAAAGTGAATGCATTATTGTTTACTATTTCTAAAAAAATTTCATCAAAACACTTCAGAAGCTGGATTATATAGAAGCTGTCATGTAAGTCAATTTTTAATATCATTATTTAAATATGTCAATGTTCAGCTTGAAGGATGGACCTCAGGCCTTCTAGTTCATCTTGCCCAATTGTTTGGTCAACATAGTTCTGGATATTACACCTGCTGTTAGTTAAAATATGCTTTAGTTAAAATATGCACTGCTGCCTCCACTGAGTGTTCCCAGTACATCCCTCCTGCCTTAGGTTCTGACACCTGCAAACCATCATTTGAGCTAATTAAGATAATTGTTTTCCCAAAGACTGCTTGGCCAAGGAAAAGAGAAATCATTAGAGTAGCTTCCTTCTTTGGATTTATCTGTACAATGCTTATTAGTTACTAATTACAGTTCAAACAATTCGAAATTTCTGACTTCGTACCTTACTGAGAGATTTCTCACAGTGAGGAATTCGCCAATTATTTTTACAGTTTATATCAAACTTCATTATTATATTTTAAGCTTGGAGGGTTACTAGATTCTTTTTAAATATGACATTTCCTTTAGCCAGAAGACATGTACACTAATTGCCAGAAGACATGTACACTAATTGTCTAATGTTTGGAAAGAAATTTGGGAAGATAGGAGATAGAAGTAAATAGTTAATTTCAGCATATGATAGGTAAAGAATCATTATACATCATATAGCATCCCATATATTACCTCTTTTTTTTTTCTTGAGACAGAGTCTCACTCTGTCACCCAGGCTGGAGTGCAGTGGGGCAATCTCAGCTCACTGCAACCTCCCACTCATGGGTTCAGATGTTTCTCCTGCCTCAGCCTTCAAAGTAGCTGTGATTACAGGCACCCGCCACCATGCCCGGCTAAGTTTTGTATGTTTATTAGAGACAGGGTTCCACCATGTTGGCCAGGCTGTTCTCAAACTCCTGACCTCAAGTAATATACCCGCCTCAGCCTCCCAAAATGCTAGGATTATAGGTGTGAGCCACTTCGCTCGGCCCATACATATTACTTCTTAAAAATAATTTTTGTAACCTATTGTGTGTATGTATGTGTATATATACATATATGAATTTTTATAGTCTTATGTTACTATTTTGTAGGATTAAATTGATACTGATGTAATTCATTCCATTGCCAAAAATTTCAGCTTGCTCCTCCCAATACCTGCTTCTATTAATTATTTAAAAATCTTCAAGATGTGGAAAGAAAATCTTTCTTTTTCAAATTTACTCTCCACTACTTCCTTTTACAACTTCCATATTCCATTTTTTATTTCCACTTATGAAATACATTATACAGACTTCATACCTTCATAAATTCTCTTCTCAGATTTCCATGTCCTCATTTTTATAATTTACTGACCTTTCAACACCAACATGCAAATAAAAATAACACATTCTACATGAAGTCCTTCCTAAAACTTTACCTCCTAATAAATACTTTAACTCTACTATTATATCAATTTAACTGTGATTCTATTATGTTACTAATTATATCCTATTAATCCAAGAATCCCTACATTTTACAGTCAAGATAAAATGTAGGCATAGAAGAGAGTTAAGTAAGATGGATATGCTCCATGTTGTTATAGACCTTACCTCATAGCATAACAGATGGATGTGGAGCAAGTAATAATGCTGAAGTATGATTGGTATTATGCTAAGGGGATTAATTTAAATTATGTAAACATAAACATAAATATGTAAAGCATAAGCTAGACTTCTATAGAAACATTTAAGAAATAAGACAGTTTGAAAAAAAATGAGTAAGGTAGTGTTTGAAGAGATAGTGTACCAGGAAGGAAAAGGTATCTGGTAGAAGGCTGAGGATTGGGAGGGATTATGACAAATGTGAGGAATTATAAGATGAGCATAGTAGCGGGAACATGAATGTGGCTGGAGAGGCAACTCAGAGGGATATCATTATTTGATATAAAGGGCAATTTGAGAACTCTGAACTATTTAGTGAAGTGAATGATTCGACGATATTTATAGTTTGGGAGAGCTCTCTAACTGTAGTCTTAAAGATGAGTTGGTAATTAGAAAACAAGCCATAAGCAGCGACAGTGATGATGAGCAAAATTACAGAGATTTTGTATAAGTAGTAATTTGAAAAATATTTTGGGGGATTTATAAAATTTGGCAATAGCATAAATGTGAGGAAAAGAGTGAAGAAAGAGATAGGAATGTTCATATTTCTTTGTTGAGCAATTAAGTGCTACATTATTCTGAGATGTAAATCAACATGTCATAAGTAATGGGAGTATTTGAAGCTTAGTAATTATCATATTAATTTAACAATACTTAAGTGAGATCAAAGTGAAGATATTGAGCTATCTTTAACTGGAGATATATATAGATATATCACATATATAGAGAAAGAGTGCAATTGAAGAAGATAAATAACTTAAAAAATGGATGAGATTTATTTTTGAGATAAAAAAATGTGTCTCAAAAAATTGCATAATTAACTTAATGCAATAAACCTCAACAGAATAGATAAAAATAAATCCAAATAAAAGGGTTTCCAAGCAAATTCTTTCTAGGATTGAAGTTAAATGAAGTACCAACCATATCAAAGCTTACACAACCTTTTATCAGTTGAATATGCTATTGATACCAAACTAGGCAAGAGTAATTTCATAATTGGAAATAGATGTAAAATTCCTGGCAACCTATTAGGAAGCTAAAATGAGCAATATCTAAAAATAAAACAAATTATCATGAAAGTGCCATTCCCTTATATCTCCCCATGAGAATCAGGATAATTTAACATAGAAATATAAGGCTTTTCTGATGGTTCTGTGGAAGATTAGATATTTGGAGAGTGCATCTTGTCCAGAATTATTAAAATGCTGTTATATATATAATCTATATACATATAATATACATATTTACACACACTCATATTATATGTATATATTGTATAATATGCAAACATATATACATAATATATATGTATACATTTAATGTGTGTGTGTTTGTGTGTGTGTGTGTGTGTGTGTGTGTAGCATTTGGCGATTGTCACATGGCCATGTTAAAAAATTAAATTTGAGAATAAATGAGGAGGAATTAATACATTTCATTAGTAGAACATTTTCCAACCCTAAATGACATGGAGTTAGAATTTCATATAATAAATAGTATAGGATTAGGAGGCAAATCTGGATACCAGCAGGGTGGAAGGTCAAACTAATCTCTCTCCCATTCTAATGCTGAGTTCTCCAGCAAAGGACTGTAGAGGAAGATAGCAGATATATTCGGCTTTATCAGAATGAGATTTAACTGTGTATAGGCCTAAAAAGCCAAGATTAAAATTTAATTTGAAATAATCTATAGTTTGTTGTGCCTGTCAATTGTCTAACGTAAACAAACATATACATTATTTGGAAGAATATAAACAAATAACTCAGACTTTGAAAAAACATGGAGTAGCAGGGGCCAGATTTACCATCTTATCCAAACAAAATTTAAAAATGGATGAAAGGATACAAAGCAATGGTTTTCCAGACACTGGATATTAGGCATAGAGGGCACTGATCCTTGATAGATAGTAAACAAACAAATAAAGAAACAGAAACAAGCCTTATGATTGCCTGGAGAGAGTTTCTAGGCTGCAGTATAAGAAAACCAAGGAGGAGTCTGGTCTTTTCACTGAAATGATGAGAAAGCTAGATGTATGGTGAGGCCAAGAAGACTAGATTTTAATAGGGAAGAGTTCCAAGATAAGAGCTACACAGACAGAAACCTCCCAGGTTTTCCCTGCTTCATGAGTACCTGGCACATTGGTACCTATGGCTGGCACGTGGCAAGGTCGCCAGGACTCAGAGATAAGGCATGGAGAGTGAAGGGAGGATGCTCACTTTCTCTTTCTGTCACACTCTGAGTTTTCACTGAAAGAAGGAAGGGAATGAGGGATGCTTTTATTCCCTGCCTTTCAGGATGGGCAACCAGTTCTCTTCACCACCCTCAGCTTATAATCTTCTGGAATGTATCCTGAACCATTGGGACTGATTTGATCCTCAGAATCTGGAGGAAAAGTGCCTCATAGCCCTCTGCACAAAGGTTAGGCCAAATTATGATTTACAGGAAGGACTGGCTTGGCTTCAGGAAGGAATCATTCATTTCTATACCATCTGGCAATTGTAACTTTTCTGTACACATAAGGATAGATGGCCTGAGGCCCCACATGTGCAGGTTTTCTATACTTTGCAAGGCAATCCAGACCTGTGCCAACAATGTAGGATTGATCCAGCCCTCCTGTTTGCCATCTCAGGTAAGGCTGCAATGGTCACCACAACAGAGGAACCAGCTCCCTCAAGCCCTGCTCTTCTGAGTCCACCATGACCTCCCTATCTATCTTCAGCCTCTCACTTGCCACTCCTAGAAATCCTCGTTCTAGACAAGCCCCAGTGTCACTCTTGCCCCTCCAATAGATGAACACTTTTGGGATTTGACTACACCAGTAGTTAAAGGAAAATTATGGCACCAAATGCTTATATTAGAGATCAGCTTCTATCTTAAGAAGAAACAAACAGAAGGAAATGACAAAGATCAGAGCAGCGGTGGAAAACAGTACTGTACATATGAATCTACTTTTCAATTCATTCTATGGGGTCAACATGACTATTTTTTTCTTCTTTTGAGATGGAATCTTGCTCTGTTGCCCAGGATGGAGTGCAGTGGCACAATCTCGGCTCACTGCAACCTCTGCCTCCCGGGTTCAAGCAATTCTCCTGCCTCAGCCTCCCGAGTAGCTGGGATTACAGGTGCCTGCCATGATGCCTGGAAAATTTTTGTATTTTTAGTAGAGATGGGGTTTCACCATGTTAGCCAGGCTGGTCTCGAACTCCTGACCTCAGGTGATC